>NC_000005.10:84655261-84958291 GCF_000001405.40 Homo sapiens | reverse complement strand
ACCTTTCCTCGTGTCTTAGACCACATTCTTCTCTAATCCATAAATATTCACAAGCCTTATCTTCAGGGAAGTGGATTTAAGAACTGTTCCGCCTCCTTGCTTGGCTGCCTTGTGAATAAATGTTTTTTCTTTTGCAAAATCAGTCATCACAGTGATTGGTTCAGTGTGCATGGGCAAAATGAACCTGGTTAGTGTATTAGCTGTAGTTTGGGGGGTTTTGGTACAATACTCTTTAGCAGACTGAGGAAGTTTTCTTCTCTTTGTAGTTTTATGTTTCTAAAAAATCCTAAATAGTTATTAAATATTATTTAGTACTTTTTCTGAATAAACTGTGATGACCATTTGGATTTTCTCTTCCATGAATCTTTAGATTTTGATTTCTCTACTAACCCTAACAGGGATAAATAAAATTAATTTTGTACCAAACTAGACAGAACTCAGGCAATTTAGAGTACCAAAAAGCAGTACCCCCAAAATATATCTTAAAAACAACTAAAGAGAAGTAAGATATTATATGAGGGAAAAGGTTATTCATACACAGGACACATGCTAATAATAAATATGTAAAAGGAGGGCCAGGTTCCATGGCTTATGCCTGTAATCTCAGCACTTTGGGAGACCAAGGTGGGCAAATCATCTGAGGTCAGGAGTTCGAGACCAGCCTGGCCAACATGGTGAAACCCCATTTCTACTAAAACTACAAAAATTATCCAGACATGGTGGTGTCTGTAATCCCAGCTCCTCGGGAAGCTGAGGCAGGAGAATCATTTGAACTCGGAGGCAGAGGTTGCAGTGAGCTGATATTGCACCATTGCACTCCAGCCTGGGAGACAAGAGTGAAACCCTGTCTCAAGAAAAATAAATATATATATGGAATGAAAGAATAGCTTTAAAGTGTTCAGAGAAACAACTGCCAAGTTACCTTTTATGACTACAAACTGTTATTTGTGGTTAATACTTATGAAGGCTAAAAATTTATAAAAATAAAATTCTAAATTGTGTCCTCAGAAAGGAGAAAAATGGAAAGTAATACCTAAAATAATCCTGGGATGCAAGAGAAATAATAAGAAAAAAGAGTAGTAAATATGGATTAAATATCAACGTCAGTAAAACACTATCATACTTAAGTCTAAAATTTTAAGTAAAATCAAAAATGATAAACTATAGCATAGACTAAGTATAAGCATAGTCCACAGAAACATTTAAGACTATTATCTTTTTTTAGGAGGAGGGAAGTAATAATGATTATTCTTGGACCTGATCAAATATGAATTTAAAAATTTTAACAACACAATTGATAGAAATAGGGTATGTAGTTTTTAAGTGAGTAGAGAAAAAAGTGAAATAAGAAATCAATCAATTTTTAAAATGCAGAACAAGAGAGAAAATATGTCCAATGTTTAGGGAGAAAAGTAGAAAAGAGAGCAGGTAAAATAGAAACTACAAATTAAAGTGCATTAATAAATATAAATAGTGATAATTAACTTTATGTTAACTTGACAGGCTTAACTAGCATCTCCTTGTTATCTTATATATCAGGAAGAGACATTCTCTGGGGGTAAATGCCTAGGAATGAATTTCTGGGACACTAATACGTGCTATTACTATTATTACTTTTTTTTTTTGAGACGGAGTCTCCCACTGTCGCCCAGGCTGGAGTGCAGTGATGTGGTCTCAGTCCACTGCAACCTCTGCCTTTCAGGTTCAAGCAATTCTCGTGCCTCAGCCTCCTGAGTAGCAGGCATTACAGGCGCCCACCACCAAACCTGGCTAATTTTTGTGTTTTCAGTAGAGATGGGGTTTCATCATATTGGTCAGGCTAGTCTTGAACTCCTGACTTCAAGTGATCTGTCCAATTTGGCCTCCCAAAGTGCTGAGATTACAGAGGTGAGCCACCAAGCCCCACCCATGCTACTTAATCCTATCAAGTTCTGCAAATTTTATTTTAAAAAATATAATCAATTTACAATCCTGCTATGATTTAATGTCATTTACCAGATCCCCAACATTTGGTATTCTTTTAATTTTTGCCAACCAGGTTTTCTTAAAAGATCTTCTATCTCATTATTATATTAATATCAATTTCTGTTACTGTAAATTTACTAATTCTGTTTTAATTACATCTAAATTTTTCTAGTTTAGTTTATTTTCTCATCATATTCATATTCTTTGCTCAATTTCCTTTTATGTGTTTTATTAGTTGATTTACAAAAGTTCCTCCTAAATTCCTGATGCTAATCCCTTGTGGATTGTAGAGGTTGTAAATATCAAAGCCCAGACTGTCACCCCATCTGTTTCCTTCGTTTTTGTGTTTTGTTGAATAGAAATCCATGAATCTTAAGATTTGTCCTGTGTGTATCCTTGTTTTGAAAAACAGGTTTTTCTCCACTGTATGTTCACATAAATAGTTTGTCCAGTCATGATGAAGGGACCAACAGATTCTCCTTTACTTCATCTTTCAGTCAGCAGCAACAGCTTTTGTAACAGCAACATTTTCCTATTTTTTAATTGCACCGGGTATTCTTTTTACAGAAACTGTTCCCTATATGCAGTAATGAAGTGTCACTCCAAGCTCAAAATGTACTGCCCTATGCTATGATTTTAATGGTTTAGGGCCAAGGAAAAAAATAAACTTGAAAAAAATAGGCTGCTGCTAATGGACTACCCATTGAAGAGTGGAATTTACCTGCAAAGTCCATACGTAAATCAATACCACTCACACAAAAAAGAAAAGAACAAAAACTTATTGCATTTAGTTGTGACCTATGGGCAGATGGCAGTAAAGTTTATATTTCCAGAATTTACCTGATTTCCATTTTCTTTTCATAAGCTTGAAAACATGACATCACAGATGACTTCTTATTATTCTTTAGATTCACTGTCTAATCAGTAATTATACTCTGATAATTTTATACTTAAAATATTTTTTATAATTCAATCTTTTTATTCGAAGATGTAATACTGCATGTTATAGAAGAGTCTCCAGATATTTGTCTGATTTCTTATACATCCAATTCATTCTGCCTTCATGAAATTCAGAAGAATTTTTAATAAGTTATTCCATCTGCAAACCATTTACTGTCTGTTCCATGAACCTCAAGATAATCCTAGCTTCTGATACAGTAATCAAGTTTCTTAATAATAAATATTATATATAATTTTTGTTAGTTTTATTGAGATTTAATTCATATACCATGAAATTCATTCTTTTAAAATGTAAAATTCCAATAGTAGACTCACAGAATTTTACAACCATCACTATTCTCTAATTTTAAAATATCTTTATCACCTCTAAAAGAAATTCACATATATTAATAGCCATTCTTAATTTTCCCCTCTTTCTAGTCCCTGGCAAACATTAATCTGCCTTCCGTCTCAATAAATTTGCCTATTCTGGATATTTCATATGATAGAATATGTAGCATTTTGTGTCTGGCTTTTATTCACTAATCATATATTTTTAAAGTTCCTTAGTGTTCTAGCATGTACCGTACTTTTTCATAGCTGAATAACATTCCATTATGTGGATATGGCATATTTTGTTTATTTATTCATCAACTGATAGGCTTTCTTGTTGTTTTCACTTTTTTGACAATTATGAATGATGCTGCTATGAGCATTTGAGCATTTGTGTAAAAGTTTTTGTGTTGGCATATGTTTTCAATTATCTTGAGCATTTTTAACTAGCAGTGAACTTGCTGAGTTATATAGTAACTCTATGTTTAACTTTGGAAAAAATGCCAAACTGTTTTCCCAAAGCAACTACATTATTTTAAATTGCCACCAGCATTATATGAGGGATCCAGTTTTTCCAGGTCCTCAGCAACACAGTATTGACCTTATTATTGTTGTTACTATAACTATCTTAGTAAATATAAGCAGATATTTTATTGTGGTTTTGATTTGCTCTACTATAAGGACTAATAATTTTAAGCAGCTATTCAGACACATTGACAATTTTTATTTATCTTTGAGGAAATGGCTATTAAAATAGTTTGCCTACTTTAATTGAGCCATTTGTACCTTTAGAGTTGGATAGAAATAACTCTATATCTTCTAGATACAAGTCTCTTTCTAGATACATAAAAATTTAAAAGTATTTTCTCTCATTCAGTGGATTGTCTTTTCACTTTCCTGATGATACTTTAAGGCACCAAAGATTAATTGTGGTAAAGTCAAATTTATCTACTTTTTATTTGACTACTTGAGATTTTTGTAATTATATCCATAAAATCATGGCCTAATTCAAGGTCGGGAAGACAGCAGCATCTGTTTGCTTCCAGTAGTTGTATAGTTTTAGCTCGTACATTTAAGTGTCCGATACATTTGGAGTTAACTTTGTATATGGTGTTAGGTAGGGGTCCAATTTCTTTCTTTGCCTGTGGATTTCCATTTCTCTCAGCATAATTGATAAAAAGAATTTTTTTCTGTTGAATTGTCTTTGTACCCTTGTCAAAAAAAGTCTGTGTGTGTGTGTGTGTGTGTGTGTGTGTGTATATATATAAATATATATTTTTTACTTTATATATATCTTTTTTACAATAATCTGTTAAATATAGAGTTATTTTAGTTCACGTAGGACCAAAATGCCAGCCAATATTTCTACCCTGACAATAATTTATTGTTTGTCTGATCCATTAGATAATGTACGTCTGTTATAATTTAAATAAAACTAAGGCTACTGTCTAAAAAGTATATGGTTACTTTTAATCATGCATAGTTACTCTGTTCTAAATATAAGTATAAGCAGCTGCACTGCCATTTCTTTCTGTTTCTTAGTAACACCACGTTAATGAACATCGTTGGAAATGGAGCCATCCTGAATTTGTCCTTAAATTTTATAGAAGACATATAATGAATTCTAAATTATTGTTGCTATTCATCACTCATCTGCATGTGTAAAACTAAACTGTTAACAAACAATAATACTGATTACATCTTCCCACTACAGCATATACAGAATGGGGATATTAGGCCTTAAGAGGATGCTTCATTGTCATTTTAAATTTGTAATATATACATATTCACACAGATAAATGTGTTGCAAGTTAATTGACAAGCAAACACCACCAAATAGTTTTCTGGAAAGAAACAATTAAAAAGCATTATTGTCAAAATTGTAATAAGATTATAGATACTGAAGGTAGGGATGAAGGCACTACTGGACTCTTCAGATAATTTTAAATCTTATAAAAATGTAAAATTAATCAAATACTATGACATTTAAGAGTCCTTGAAAGAGGCCACTGGAATAAGCCCTTGTTGTCTAGGGAATAATTCATGTTGAGCATCTCTCAAGACATAAGACAACCACAGAAATGACACCTGCTTTTAATAAAGACCAACCCCCTGTAATATACTGGGCATGCCAAGTTTGAAAACTCTCAGCAATTCATTATTGAATTGAAGATTTACTCCCCATTTAAGTAAAAGAAAATATTTTAAATTTCTCTTGGCCTATTTTTTTTTCACAGTAAAATGAGGTTTAAAAATCTTGCTTCATTTGGTTTCTGGATATATGTAAAAAAATGTTTGTGGACTATAGAAAGTATTTGGACATCTCCTAGCTGCCACCTGGTACTTAGGAAACATCAAATCCTTCGCCCTATATTTCCTTCCCTAGTGGAAAGAGGGTTAAATGCCTGCAGCAGAGGAGTATTTATGGCACAGGCTGTAACACAGTCTTTTCCTTTTCTCTCAAACTCAATGTGATCTGCAAATGACTACTATGCTAGACAATACTGATGTCACAGGTTTTAAAAACGCATATGATCAGCTTCAGGGACAGAGTCCACTAACTTACATACTTTTCTATTCACAATCAGCTACTTGGCCAGCAATACCTTTGACATGGTATATGACAAGGGTTAAAAATGTAGATGTAGATGACAGCATTATAGATTTACGGCAAAAATGTCAAGAAAACTCTTCTTTCATTAAATTACTGAAGAAGAAAAATAATAGATCCTGGCTTTTCAGAAAGAGAAAGGAGGAACTTCTGCACATAAATAAGTTCAGGCAGTGTTGGAAGCTTTCTTTAAATAAATACAAAAATTCTAGAAAAGAAAAGCAGAATCTCTTAAACCTTATAATCCCTAATGTTGCTTAAAAAATTAAGGAATCATTAAGGAAAAAGTACCAACTTATTTTCGAATGGTGTGTGTGTGTGCATATGTGTGTAAGCATGTATATGTGTGCATATAACGATGCTGAGGCACTTTATAAATCTGAAAAATAAAATGGGGTGACTTGGTTAAAGTGTGATAAGGTTTGGCTATGTCCCCACCCAAATCTCATCTTGAATTGTAGTTTCCATAATCCCCACCTGTTGTGGGAGGGACCCAGTGGGAGATAATTGAATCATGGGGATGTTTACCTCCATGCTGCTGTTGTCATGCTAGCATTAGGTTCTCACGAGACCTAATGGTTTTATAAGGGGCTTCTCCCCGTTTGCTCAGCATTTCTCTCTCCTGCCGCCATATGAAGAAGGACGCATTTGCTTCCCCTTCTGCCATGATTATAAGTTTCCTGAGGCCTCCCCAGCCATGTGGAATTGTGCAAATTAAACCTCTTTCCTTTATAAATTACCCTGTCTCAGGCAGTTTTTTATAGCAGTGTGAGAATGGACTAATACAAAATGTAAAGATATCTGTATAAAATAAGTACCATATAATGATGTTGCATATAGATAAACAAACTGCTTTTTCTTCTTCAGTTGTTCTCAACACAGAACACTCCTGTGACCAGCTGTACGGGTTTTCTACACCAAGCAAATCTCCACTCCTCCTTGGACACCAACTGGTTTTCTTGCTTAATTCTGATACTAACTAGTGCAGAAGTAAGCACAGGCCTCATGAGTTAAGGCTTCACTCCCACATGACTACCACCTACTCCACAGTCCAGTTGCAAATTCCAGATTATGGCCTGAATTCTAACCAACCACTATAAATCAAGAATTCCCATGACCCCTTCTTCAAGCTTGATCAGTTGCAAGAATGGTTCACAGAACTCAGGGAAAGATTTACTTATGTTTACTGGATTAATATAAAGGACATTATAAAGAATACAGATGAATACTCAG
This sequence comes from Homo sapiens, assembly GCF_000001405.40. NCBI lineage: Eukaryota > Metazoa > Chordata > Mammalia > Primates > Hominidae > Homo > Homo sapiens. Next base: position 84,951,210 of record NC_000005.10, on the reverse strand, counting down.
ATGAAAATGTACAAAGGCAAGGTATATGGGATGAGGTGGAGAGCTTCTTTGCCCTCTTTGGGGGCTCCAATCTCCCAGCACTTCCATGTGTTCAGCAACTTGGAAGCCCTTCAAACCCCTACTTTAGGAATTTTTAGGGAGGCTTCATGACATAGGCATAATCAATGATTAACTCAGTATCCAGCCCATCTCCTCTTCCTGGAGGATGAGAGTAGACCGTTGAAGCAAACAATTCCCAGCTTGTAATCATGACTGGCCGTTCTCACAAACAGCCTCCATTCAGGAGCCCACCAGGAGTCACCTCATTGAAATAAAAGAATCTCCTATTACCCAGAAAATTCTAAGAGATTAGGAGCTTTGTATCAGAAACCGAAGTCAGAGACCAAATGTTAGAACAAAAGATGCATCTAGAACCCTTATTGCTGAGTAAATTACAAGGGTTTTAGAAGTGCTATACCAGAAACCAGAGATAGAGACCAAATATATATTTCTTATTATATCACAGTATTGCAGATGTCTATTTTCGTTATATACTTCTGGATCATAGATACTATAATACATTTTAAATAAAAAGTAGCTGATTCAGGGTTCTTCTTGTGGGTTCACTTAAAGAAAAATAAATGCCATGGAACCTCAGGACTGTATCGCCATCTTTTGAAAGGACACTCCCTTTATTACAAGCTTTTAGGTCCACAGTTTTTTAGTGAATAATTTTCCTTGAGCAAAGATCTACCCTTAACTCTAAGATTATGCCAGTAACCTTGAAGCAGGAGGTTGCAAAATGCCTAAACTTCTTTCAACCCAGATCTGACCAAATCCATCAAAACTTGGGCTGCACTATAAACTGTGACAGGATTAACCATATTTCTCCTGAAAAAAATGGAACAACAGTTATTTGAAACTATTTTCCAAATTATTTTATAATTTTAACTACCCTCTTTCTCTGATCTGCTGCTTTACATGGCTTTTAATGTTCATATTTTTCAAACTGCAGCCAGAATCTCAACTGCCTTTTCAAATGTACACATTTTTGCTCAAAATTCTGTGGGAACCCCACAATACATTTGGGAAGGGGAATCTTGTCCAGGAATTTCTCATTTAACATGTGCAGTGGTTTCAAGCAAGTAAATCTTGACTTTCATCTTTAGATTATTTTTTGTTTAAACACAAACCTATACAAATGTGTATTCACATACTTTAAGTTATTGAAAAGAAAGTGAAAGATAGCAAACAAAGAAACAAATAATATAGTATGTATTGGTGAAAAAATGAGGGCAAGGAAAAATGCATTTTGAATCGGGATGAAGTCACAGTGATTTTTCTGACATGATATTTAAAAATACAGCCAATTTTTTTAAAAAAATATTGCTAACACATAACTATTAAATCTGGTACAATTAGTATCTTTCATTGTGAACATTCAGATACTACAAAAAATTCCTTTAAAGTCCTAATTATTTCACCTAGTACAAGATTCAGGAATAAAAGAATGAAAGATGAAGGTAGGAAAGAGGATTGAATCTTTAATGGGAGATTTAATTCTTACTCTTTCAGTTTTATCCTTGTAATCAGCAAGTTGCCAGGCTTGGTGATAACATATGCATATAGAAAAGGACTAATTTATTTTCATGAAGACTATTAAAAGGTTGCAAGAGAGAAAAAGTAATTAACAATTACTTCCAGCCTTATAATAACCATAAACTTATTAAACCTCTCCTCAGTAAATTTAAAGAATACTTATGCAGTGTGTATTTGAAGATCAACTTGTACTGAAATTGCATGCAAATATTTAAGAAGTTAATTAAAATGTGATTTATTTTTGAACTCTGATACCGGTCATGTTGAAGAATAAATTCTAGTTATTACTTAAGCATCCTTTTTTTTTGTCTTTTTGCCTAATTATTTTGTATGCTCATGTCCATCTTAGGCTATCGAAAGTTCAATACTACCACTAGAGACATTGGTATGAATTGCAAAATAGGAGAAAAAGTTTATTTTAGTAGTTTCCTCCTTTTTTTCCATTAATAAAACCAACAAATTTACCCTTCATTCTGTACCTCACTTGTATGTTAAAATTTAATCTTACATATTTAAGATTAAATAAAGGTGGTTCTATTCATTTTCAAAATACCTAAGGGAAAGATGGACTTCAAGCCTACAGGCACATGGGAAAAATTAGTAATTCTAGGTTATTTTATATGATGACCCTACAGTTTATTATATTAAATATTGATGTCTTGGTATCTGAATCTATAAAATTAGAATAACATTAGGCATTTTCTAGATTATCCTGAAATATGAATACAGTTGCATGCACGCACATATAAGTTTAAAATAATTTGCTTCCTTGACATATAATGCATCATTTCAGTATCTCAGTATGGCTATAAGGATTTACGTTTTCATTAATTTCATTATTTCGTTTACTACCATTTATTTTATTTTTTTAGAGCTCACCTTTAGCAAATTATTTAGCAATAAAGCTAGATTTGCATTTAAGTCTACTTACAGGCAAATAACATAGCATAGTAAATTCACATCTTTTTTAGATTTTTTTATTGCAGACATTTGTTGTGCATTTGCACCTCTTAAAAAGTGCAAAGTAGTGAAAGATTTGCACACGAATGGACGTAAGCTAGAACTATATATGTCTTTTTCATCTTAGCTTGTTTCAAAATATTAGCTAACATCCAAATTTGAATTAACACACACACAAGAAAATATTTTATTAAAAGAGGCAATATTTTCTTATTTTCTTTTGTAGGAAATATCTGAATTACCCAATTTAGTGATTGCCTTGCATAGATTAATTCAACCAACATTTGAGAACTTGCCATGTGCCATCATTATGCTTGGTTTTGAAAGTTTAAATTTAAGCGAGATGTTCCATGACCTGGAGCTGTCTTTTCCTACACATGGAAAGAAGAAATAAGGGAAGAAAGGAGGAACATCACCATTTTTACTATGGTTTAAGTTGGAAGTATTTTACTTTTTTGTAAAGTACAGTATTCACATTGTTGTCAAACTAATAAGTGTATTATTTATACATAACATAATAAGTGTTAGCCAACCACTTTATTTCATACATAAGAAAATCAATGCTCAGAGGCAGACAGCAAAAAGTGTCTGAGTACGGTGTGCCTTCACCCTTTCATCATTTTGCTTGATGTTGTTTCATCTCTCTTGTAAATGAAACGACCTTGATTTCTTTTTTACTCCCTCTTATCTTTTAATAGAATACTTTTTTCTGATCAATTTAAAACAATGCTTCTCAACATTTAATGTTTATATAAATTACCTGTGGCATTGATAAAATACAGATTCTGGTTCTGTAGGTCTGGGAAGGGATCTGACATTTGTGATTGGTGATTTTGATAAATTCTTTTCTTTTCTTTTGAGACAGAGTCTCGCTCTGTCACCCAGGCTGGAGTGCAGTAGCATGATCTCGGCTCACTGCAACCTCTGCCTCCCGGGTTCAAGCGATTCTCCTGCCTCAGCCTCCTGAGTAGCTGGGATTACAAGAGCCCACCACCACATCAGGCTAATTTTTGTATTTTTTTATAGAGATGGGGTTTCACCATGTTGGTCAGGCTGGTCTCAAACCCCTGACCTCCAGTGATCCACCTGCCTCAGCCTCCCAAAATGCTGAGATTACAGGCATTAGCCACCATGCCCAGAATGATTTTGATAAATTCTTAGGAGATGCTAATTCCGCTGATCAGAAGGCCATCATTTACTGAGTGGCAAAAGTTGAAAGAACAAAATGATAGAGATTTGCTATTCCTCTATCTTAAATTTATGCTGGCTGGTCTTTCCAATTCTTGCAGAAATTTTAGACTCGGCATAGTCTACCTTGAAGGAAGCTGCCTCAAAGCAATTAGATGGACAATGAAGACTTACGTACCACTGTAAAAAAAAGAAAGAAAGAAAGAAATAGAAAAAGCCCATGTATAGCACAAATTGGGAACAAAATTAGACCCTGGACTTTTATGAATTTCTTTTCTTGATGACTGTCAGGCTTCTGGCATATTGCTAAGATTACATAGTTAAGAAAAAAGACCAAACATCATTTCTAGTGACCTGGATTGATTTCACATGAATAAAACCTAGAATTTGACTAATATTGAAAGAATACATAGGACATAATTATTCAAAAAGAAATTTATTAAGCCCAACTACATGAAAGGTATTGTATTTTTGCTGTATAAGTACAGAGAAACAATCATCAGTGGGGCACTATCTCCAGCAATCCACAATACAAAATTTCAGTCTATTTAATAATGACCTAGAAATTTCATACTAATCTGCACACTTGGTATTTAAACAAAGTCATTTTTATATTATATGTCTTATTAAAATAGTAGCATGTGACTGAGGTAATAGTGGTGGTATAAATATGAATCTTGCAATGTGCCCATCCACTCAAAGAGAAAAAAGAGTACATAAAACTATTAAAATTCATACACTTACTATCAACTTAAAACAGAATGCTCAATTCTATTTTCTGTCAGTGAAAAAATAAACAGCACATTTTATCAAGGTTTGGCCATGCTTCCAGAGGCAGGGCTTGGACTCTGGATTCTGGAGCAGACCGAATAGTAGCTAAAACAGGGCCAGAGCAGAAGCAGCTTTCTAATCAGATACACTCACCAATGTGCCACTTCAATTTACCATTGTCATGGCAACAACCTGGAGTTACCGCCCCTTTCCATGGCAATGACCTGAGGACCCAAAAGTTCTTACCCCTTCCCTAGAAATTTCTGCATAAACCAACCCTTTATCTGCAGGCAGTATAAATATGACTGTAAAACTGCCCTAAACCTCTACTCTGCCTACGAGGTAGCCCTGCTCTGCAGGAGCAGCCATAGAGCTGTAGCATCGCTGGAGTTGTAACACTGCCTCTTCAATAAAACTATGTTCTTTTACCTCTGGCTTACCCTTCAATTCTTTCATGAGCAAAGCCAAGAATCCTCACAGGCTAAGCCTCACTTTGGGATTCACCTGAGCTGCATCATAAGTATGAACAAAATATTCCTATTAAAATTTAATGGAAATCTTCACAGAAATAGAAAAAATATTACAAAATTTGTATGGAACCGCAAAAGTTTCAAAGTATTCAAAGCAATCCAGAGAAAGAACAAAGCTGGAGACATCACACTACCTGATTTTAAATTATATTATAAATCTATACTAATCAAAACAGTATGGTTCTGGCCTAAAAGTAGATATAGATATAGACTAATGGAACAGAATAAAGATAACAGAAATAAATCTATTCATGTACAGGCAACTAACCTTTGACAAGGTACAAAGATCATACAATCAGGAAAGGGTAGTCTCTGCAGTAAATGACATTGGAAAAACTGGATATCTATATGTAAAATAATGAAACTGGATCTTTATCTCTCATCATATCCAAAAATAAACTCAAAATGCTGTGTTAGTCTGTTCACATGCTTCTAGTAAAGACATACTTGGGACTGGGTAATTTATAAAGGAAAGAGTTTTAATTGACTCCCTATTGTGTGTGGCTGGGGAGGCCTCAGGAAACTTACATTCATGGCAGAAGGGAAAGCAAACACATCCTCCTTCACATGGTGGCAGCAAGGAGAAGTCCCGAGCAAAAAGTGGGAAAAGCCCCTTATAAAACCATCAGATCTTGTGAGAACTCACTCACTATCATGAGAACAGCATGGGGGTAACCACCCTCATGATTCAATTACCTCTCACTGGATCCCTCCCATGACACGTGGGGATTATGGGAATTACAATTCAAGATGAAATTTAAATGGAAACACAGGCAAAACATATCAATGAATTAAAGACTTAGATGTAAGACTGGAAATCATAAAACTACAGAAAAAATAAGTGAAAGAAAAATTCCTTGAGATTGAGCTTGGAAATTATTTTATAAATATAATTCCAAAAGCAAGGCAATATAAGCAAAATAAACAAGTGAAACTACATTAAGCTAAAAAGTTTCTGTATGTCAAAGGAAGAAACAAAATGAAAGGCGACATATAGAATGGGAGAAAATATTAGCAAACAATATATCTGATAAGGAATTAATATCTGAAATATATAAGGAATTCATAGAAATCAAATAGCAAAATAACAAATAACCCAATTAAAAATGGAAAAAGGACCTGAATACTCATTTTTTAAAATAAGACATACAAATGTCAAATCAGTATATGGAAAATTGCTTAACATTACTAATCATCAGGGAAATGCAAATGAAAACCACAATGAGATATCACTTCACATCTGTTAGGATGCCTGCTATATCAAAAAGTTAAATGATAAGTTGGCTGGGACATGGTAAAAAAGTAACCCTTTACCATTGTTAGTGAGATTATAAATTGATAGAGCCATTATGAAATACAATACAAAGGTTTCTTGAAAAACCAAAACTGTTACTACCGTATAATCCACCAATCTAACTTTTTGGTGTATATTCAAAGGAACTGAAATCAGTATCTCAAAGAGATATCTGCATTCCTATGTTTATTGCAGCATTATTCACAATAGCTCAGGTATAAAAATAACCTAATTGTTTTCATTCCCATCAAAGGATGAATGGATAAAGAAAATGTTATCTATATAATGAAATATTATTCAGCCTTTTAAAAAAGGTAACCCTGTCTTTTGTGACAATGTGGATGAACATAGAGGACATTATGTTAAATGTAATGAGACAGAAACAGAAAGACAAATATAGCATGGACTCACTTACATGTGGAATCTAAAGTTAAAATCTATGACATCAAACTCATAGAAACAGAGAGGGGAAAGGTATTTGCCAGGGTTTGTGGTTGGAGGCTTTAAAGAGATTTTGGTCTAAACGGTCTGTTTTCAGTTATAAGAGGAATACGTTATGGAAATCTAATGTACAAAAGGAAACTATAGTTAATAGTAATGTATTATATACTTGAAATTTACCAAGAGAATTCCAACCACCAAAAAAAGTTTAAGATAACTATATGAAGTACTAGATATATTAATTAGCTTAATTATGATAATCACAATGTATACATATATTGAAACATAATGTAAACTTTAAATACACACACAGATTTTAATGGTCAATTATACCTCAATAAAGCTGGGGAAAATACATAAATATTTGTGCAACAAATATGCAATCACAATCTTTATAATACCAAATAAAAAGTAGAAGAGATGTAAGGAAACATAGAAACACAATAATAACTGGAAGACCAAAACACTTTTCATAGAGAAAAGAAGTTGACACTAAAATATTCATGAAAAAATAAATATGCAGAAATAATCTTAAACACAATTTTTAAAAAGAAATTATTTTAAGGAGAATAAGCCTAAAAGTGATTAAAATATACCCTGCATAATTAAAACAGCGTAGTACTGATGCAGGAATCGACATGTAAACTTGAGAAACAGAATAAGAAGTCCAGGAATACATGAAAAAGACATAAAACTTTAGTATGTATTGAGGGTGACATCACAAAACTTCTAGAAAATAATAAGCTTTTTAATAAATCCTATTGAGATAATTGTTAATCAATTGACAAAACATACAATTTGATTCAATCACCCTGCTGTGCTGTCAAATATGAGATCTTATTAATTCTATCTAACTATATTTTTGTACCCATTACCCATATCCACTTCCTCCTCTCTACTGTTCTTCCCAGCCTCTGGTTACCATCATTTTACTCACTATCTTAATGAGTCAAATCTCACACCATACACAAGGATAAAAACCGAAGAGTTAAAGGTTTTAGATGTAAAAAAAAATCATACATATTTTAGGAGAAAATATATGAATTCTTCTTTATCCTGAGTGTGAAAATGCTTTTTAACTGTGAGTCAAAATATAGATGTATAAAATATCGAAAAATCTTCATTAATGATAATAAAATATATGCCAAATATTTGAAAAGAAATAAAAGAAAATTGATACTAAGAGAATATCAAAAAAATGGAAGGGAATATTTGCCAAAAAAAAAAAAAAATTATCCGGAACACATAAAGGACTCTGAAAACATAATAGTAGGAAAACCAATAACGCAATTTTTTTAGAGGGTTAAAGATTTGAAGAGATCCTTCACCTAATGGGATACACAGAGAGCAATTAACCATATCAAACATGTTCAACAAGCTTAATTATAAGAGGAAAATAAATTAAACCCTAATGGGATACTAGTACAAACCTATTAGAATGGTTAAAATGAAAAACACTGATACTGTCAAGTGTGTATGAGGATGCAGCTCCACTGGACCTTTCATGAATTGCTGTTGGGTATGCAATTTGGTATAACCACTTTGGAAAACAACATTGCAATTTCTTAAATAGTTACACTTATAGTGATTGTATTTCTCAGCAATTCCACTTCTATATATTTACCCTAAGAAAATGTAAATTATTTTTACACAAACACATCTACACAAATGTTAAAGGCAGCTCTATTCATAATTACCCAAACCTAAAAATTACAAAGATGTTCTTCAATGGGTGATTAGATAACTAAACCATGGTTCACCCATATAATAGAATACTAATTGGTAATGCAAATTAATGAACTCTTAGTATACATAAGTAATGTGGGTAAATCTCAAATACATTACTCTAAGTGATAGAAGCCAGTTTCAAATTGTAACAAACTGCAAGCCTCCATTTATATGACATTCTTGGGAATGAAACTGTATTTGGAGAGAACAAATCAGTAGTTGCCAGAAGTTAGAGAAAAGAAAGGTTTGTGACTACAAAGGAACCACACAAGAGAAACTTTGGGGCTGATAGAAGTGTTGCGTGTTTTGATTATGGTGGTTATTACAGAAGTCTAAACATATGCTAAAATTCAAAGAACTGTATACCAAAAAGGTCAATTTTATTGTATATTTATATAAAATATTTAAAATAAACTTGAAAACTGTGAGAACATATATGGAAGTTGCTAATACTCCAAATACATAATACCAAATTTTCATAATTCATTAAAAATTACTTTTAAAGGAAAAAAATTGATAGAAATGATAGAAAAATATATAAAAGAAATAAAAAGACCAACTGAAAAATACATATAAAAATAACCCTTAAGCATATGAAAAATGGTCACTCTCACAATGAAAAAATGAATTAAAACTATATTCGGAAAACAGGTATCACCCATTAGATAGGGAAATTTAACCTATATAATGAACTGCTCTCTCAGTAAAAGGTTGAGAATAGGCCTTTTTGCATTGATGGTGGGAAAATAGACTGACTGATTTAAACTTTGTGAGGGGAATTTGGAATATTTTACTAAACTACATATACATTTATCTTTGACCCGGCAATCTTTATAGGCACTGACAGGGAGAATCCACATCTAACATGAATGAATAAATGTTCTCAGTCTTTTTCAATAAAGCAATGTTTATAATTTCAAAATATTAGAAACAACTTATATGTACTTCCATATAAGGGTAGTGGAATAAATAATAGTACATCTACATAAAATAGTCATAAAAAAAGACAGGAAAGATCTTTATAAAGTAGAGTGATTTCCAAGACATATTGTTCAGGGAAAAAGTGAAGTGTTAAAGAATATCTGCAGTATGATACTCTTCATGTGAAAAAGAAAATCGAATATAAAATATTGTTCATTTGAGCAGAAAGAAATGCATCCAGAAAGACAAAGAAAAGTATTGTGTAATCTCACTTGTATGCGAAATCTAACAACAAAAAAAATCAAATATACAGAGATAGAGAACCCAACAGTGGTTACCAGGGGTGGGTGTTTGGGAAGGAAATGAGAAGATATAAGTCAGAAGTTACAAAGTAGCAGAAACATATGACAGACAAGATTAGAGATCTAATGTACAACATGAGGAATATAGGTAATAAAATTGTACTATATTTGAGATTCATGCTCAATGATTAGATTTTAGCTGCTCTTGCCACATGTACAAAAAAAATGGGGAACTATGTCAGATGGTAATATACGTTGAATTGTTTCAGTATAATAACCTTTTTATCTATATGTATTCACTAACAATATATTGTATACCATAAATGTACACAATAAAATTTATTGTTAAAAAAAGAAACACAGGTAGGATAAACCAGAGACCAAAGAGATTTTTTTTTCATGAAATAATAAGTTAAGAATGGAGTATAAATAATGGAAGAGAAAAAAGATACCTTTTTCAAAATTTTTGGTACAGTCTGGCCATTTAAAACTAAGTTACTGTTTCATATACTTAAAAAGAGTCTAAATAAAATCAATAGGGATGGAAATAAAAATTTAAATTGCATATATCATATTGTAAGTATAGAAAAATATAATGCGTCTGAGGAGTTTTAAGATTTTTTTCTGTGCTGTATATAATGACCTCCATTTCTTCTAACTTTTACAGGTGATTATCCTCCTCTATGTAGAAGGGAAGCCCTATAATATCCTAAATACTACCAATAACAGTTCTAATCTATGTCGATTAATACAATAATTTTAGGACTCTCCACTGAAGACTTAAAAGCTAATAACTTGAAAATTTCTAGGCTGAGTTGTTGACTGCAGGGGATAAAATAGCAAATGCTATAATTTATCTGGTTTAATGCAGGTTTTGTTGCCACTTTTCCATAAATGGGACAGGCAGATATCCCATATTAGATATCTGTTTTATAAAGAAAGCTATTGTATAACTTTTTGCCGTACACTGAAGACCTAGACTTTTTTTAAGTTCTTTTTTGTTGTTGTTTGTTTTTATTTTTTTATTTTTTTTAATTTTATTATTATTATACTTTAAGTTTTATGGTACATGTGCACAACGTGCAGGTTTGTTACATATGTATACATGTGCCATGTTGGTGTGCTGCACCCATTAACTTGTCATTTAGCATTAGGTATATCTCCTAATGCTATCCCTCCCCCCTCACCCCACTCCACAACAGTCCCCAGAGTGTGATGTTCCCCTTCCCGTGTCCATGTGTTCTCATTGTTCAATTCCCATCTATGAGTGAGAACATGCGGTGTTTGGTTTTTTGTCCTTGCAATAGTTTGCTAAGAATGATCGTTTCCAGTTTCATCCATGTCCCTACAAAGAACATGAACTAATCATTTTTTATGGCTGCATAGTATTCCATTGTGTATATGTGCCACATTTTCTTAATCCAGTCTATCATTGTTGGACATTTAGGTTGGTTCCAAGTCTTTGCTATTGTGAATAGTGCCGCTATAAACATACGTGTGCATGTATCTTTAGAGCAGCATGATTTATAATCCTTTGGGTATATACCCAGTAATGGGATGGCTGGTTCAAATGGTATTTCTAGTTCTAGATCCCTGAGGAATCGCCACACTGACTTCCACAATGGTTGAACTAGTTTACAGTCCCACCAACAGTGTAAAAGTGTTCCTATTTCTCCACATCCTCTCCAGCACCTGTTGTTTCCTGACTTTTTAATGATTGCCATTCTAACTGGTGTGAGATGGTATCTCATTATGGTTTTGATTTGCATTTCTCTGATGGCCAGTGATGATGAACATTTTTTCATGTGTTTTTTGGCTGCATAAATGTCTTCTTTTGAGAAGTGTCTGTTCATATCCTTCGCCCACTTGTTGATGGGGTTGTTTGTTTTTTTCTTGTAAATGTGTTTGAATTCATTGTAGATTCTGGATATTAGCCCTTTGTCAGATGAGTAGGTTGCGAACATTTTCTCCCATTCTATATGTTGCCTGTTCACTCTGTTGGTAGTTTCTTTTGCTGTGCAGAAGCTCTTTAGTTTAATTAGATCCCATTTGTCAATTTTGGCTTTTGTTGCCATTCCTTTTGGTGTTTTAGACATGAAGTCCTTGTCCATGCCTATGTCCTGAATGGTATTGCCTAGGTTTTCTTCTAAGGTTTTTATGGTTTTAGGTCTAATATTTAAGTCTTCAGTCCATCTTGACTTAATTTTTGTATAAGGTGTAAGGAAGGGATCCAGTTTCAGCTTTCTACATATGGCTAGCCAGTTTTCCTAGCACCATTTATTAAATAGGGAATCCTTTCCCCATTGCTTGTTTTTGTTAGGTTTGTCAAAGATCAGATAGTTGTAGATATGTGGTATTATTTCTGAGGGCTCTGTTCTGTTCCATTGGTCTATATCTCTGTTTTGGTACTAGTACCATGCTGTTTTAGTTACTGTAGCCTTGTAGTATAGTTTGAAGTCAGGTAGCGTGATGCCTCCAGCTTTGTTCTTTTGGCTTAGGATTGACTTGGCGATCTGGGCTCTTTTTTGGTTCCATATGAACTTTAAAGTAGTTTTTTCCAATTCTGTGAAGAAAGTCATTGGTAGCTTGATGGGGATGGCATTGAATCTATAAATTACTTTGGGCAGCATGGCAATTTGAATTAGCATATTTAAACTTGAAAAAAAGGAACAATAAAAAACTTTACACTTTTTAGACACCACTATTAAAAACAGTAATTGATTGTATTTGCCATTTTTCTATGTGAAGGTTATTTGTATTTTTCTATAATCAATTTTGTAAATAATCCTTATTCTCTAGTCCTTGCTCACTTTTATTCCTATTAAAAGATATTTAGGTAATAAGCATAAAAATATATTATTCATTGAATCATCCAACAAAAGGAAATGTTAAATTATAAATACATTATATTCAAACTTTTGAAGATTAACCAAGCAATTAATTACATTAAATATAAAATGCCCCTTTATAAATATACATGCATTTTGTTAAATTCTTAGGGATCTTCTCAGCATTTTTACACCTACGGCCCTTGAGGATATGGACAAAAAATTCTTCATGGCTATTTTTCAGTCAAATCATAACAGGAAACCTGGTCCAAGGCCTTAAGTTTCAAGAGACCCTTAGAGAGAGAAGACAATAGGTACTGACTGAGGCAGCTTTAAATCTGGGTCTTAGTAGCAGGAAATAACCATATCTGACCTTTAGATAAATGTTTAAAGTCATTTGTTCATTAATATGAAAATAATAGATTCCAGCAAAAAAAAGAAGAAAACAAGCAAATACTACTTAGCATGGAAAAGTTAGGAAAATCTTCAACCCAAAAAATTATAAATTACATTTTTAAGATATTAAAGGTTTGTGGAAATTTTAAAATTCATCTTTGAGACCTAATTTGTGAATAAATATCCAACATAAAGTACATTTATCAGGAAGCATTTACGAGGGAATGTTAATGGATGTTATTAAATTTTTAGCTTTTCAGAAACTCTAGACTCACCAGGACCTAGATCAAGGCCTTGCTTCTGGACTAAACTCACTTAGGCTGGTCCAGACTTCTCAGGCATTTGATGCTTGGCTATCATGCAAATCTTAGTTTTAAATTTTTTAACCCAAATTTCACATAAATTTGCAATGTAAAATAATGTAATCTAATGAAGGACAAGTGCTATAGTCTGAATGTTTGTGTCGCCTGAAATTTAAGCAATGAAACCTAATCTCAACTTGTTAGTATCAGGTCATGAGGACAAAAGCCTAAACGAATGGGATCAGTGCCCCTATAAAAGAGGTTCCAGAAAGCTGCCTTGCCTCTTTCAACATGTGAGGATGCAGTGAGAAGTCACCATCTATGAGGGATTGGTCCTCACCAAACACAGAGTCTGCCTACACATTGATCATGGACTTCCAAGCCTCCAAAACTATGAGAAATAGAGTCACTGAATCTATGGCCATTTCGTTAAAGTAAGCTGAATTCCTACCTTTTGACTCTGTGGTTTTTCTGATTTGATAATTTCCCTTCCATTCATTAACAGTGCTGTACTATACTTAATTCCCATTTTAAAATTTAATTGTCACATTTCTGAAATAGAATATTTCTTTTTGATCTTTTTGTTTAAATTAAATTTTAATACTGGCATCTCTTTGTTGCATATTTAATTAAAGTTCCTCTGCCATATATTTTTTAATCTAAAAAATGTATTCTGTGGTTTCTTTTAATGCTTTGAGCACTTTATTTGTCTATTCTGAACTCTCTTAAGTTTTCATAGAGAATTAATCAGTTTCAATAGAAGATACAAATTACCCTACTTTTCTAAAGTGTGCTGATTCCATTTGTGTACCTAAATATAGGATTGAATGAATTACTATTTTATTGAGTCCTAGCCAGTGTATTATATTATTACTAAAGTTATATGATAGCTTATTTTTGTCCTAGATTACTCAAAGTTCTCATATTCTATTCCATATGTTCTTTTAGAGAGTGTAAATATTTCCTTGAATTCAAATTACATTTTCCACTTAAACTCCCACCCAGTAGTCAATTTAAGTAGATTTTTGAAATGCTGTTCATTTCTAGGTAAAATAAACAAATGGCTTACAATTCTTTTAAACTGCTAGAATTTTAAAAAATCAGCTGTTTAACATAGTGTGATCTCCAGGGTATGTGTTTACTGCATGAACTGCACAACCTCCAACACCTACATTTACATGTAAAATGTGAATGTTAGTCAGATTATAAATGTTATGTTAACGAGCACAGAAAATTTCCACAAACATCTCAGAGATTCAATCTCATTATTTAAACTATGATTACTAAATAGCAATTAATAAATTTTAGAAAAAGTTTCAAGAAGTATCATACCAAAAGGTATCTCTGCTTAATTTTAAAGAAGCTAGGACTTTCAGTGCAAGTCAATTACAGCTCACCGAAAGCTTTCATATCTATTCACTTATTCTTGCTTTCAACAAACATGGAAATAGTCCTAGGCACTACATTCTTTGATGCCTACACCTCCATGTCTTTCATAACCCTTTGCAAGAAACATCAATGTTTTGCATGCAAAGGATCAAGTTTACACATGATTAGCACAAATCAGGAAGGAGTATATTGAGCTTCTAGGATTCTGAAGAGTGGTGAGATGTCATTAGTACGAATCCTCATCAATTCCACTGAGCCACTGAGTTCCACAGGTTTTCAAGACTGAGTATATCTACCAGAAGGAAGAAGATTTGGTGGGTTCAATTCTGTTGCAGATAGAGAGTTCTCACAGCTCTGAGCACATTTATGGTGTCCAAGAATTGTCTGCCAACATTGTCCTATACTGCATTTCCTGTTACAGAGAGTATGGAAAAGCCATATAAGTACAATAAGACACATCTGGATATATTTATTTTATTAATATAGATTCATTTTGTCACAATATACAGCCAATGATTCATTATATGAACACTGCCATCATAAGGGTAACAGTTTAGGCATATATTTCACACCAACACTTAACCACACCAGAAGAGACATTTGTCTTCATATCTTCAGCAAATTTTCCCTTTTCTTTCTGTTGTATCAGACAATAAATAATTTCCAGGTGAGAATAAGCCAGTTAAGGTTAACTGTCTGATATTTGCAACAAAAATATCTCACATGTTTATCTAAAGTGATTTTTTTTCTGGTTAAAAATAAGACATTATTTGTAAAAAAAAATAGACAATACTGTCTCATATAACAAAAAATAGCACTGTTCAGAATAGTTAATTATATGTGTGTGCATTTGTGTGTATGTGGTTCTGTAAGACACAAAGCAAAAAGGAAAGAAGAGAGGGTGCAAGTGAGAACTGTTTAGTAAGGAATTCATTCAGAGTTTTGATTTTTAAATAAAAATAACACAGTTACAGAAAGTCATTTATACAGGAGATCAGCATACATAACATTATATGTAACATATATAGCAACATATATGCATATCATACATATAATGTAGATAAAATGTACCATTATTAAAGTTAAGAATATCCAAGAATCAGTGAAAAAATGGGAACTAAGTCTGTCATTTTGGATTTGAGATTTTTAATTAATACAGATTCTTTAAGTTGGTGCTCAAATTTGAAATTAATATACCTCCAAAATATCTGATTTATTCTGAGGCACTTACAGGAAAGGTGTGTATTTCCCCCCAGAGAGCTGTTTATTTTACAGCAAAGGAAAAAAAAATTTTTTACAGATGTTTTTCTGAGAGGTCAATAATTTAAACTTACATGACAGCATGTAACATGTTTACCAATTATAACACTACAGGAATATTAATCAAAAGTGAAGAAATCTAAAATCTAGTAAGGACCATATGGTACATTCAGAACAAGTGTTCCAACTGTTGGCGGGAAGAAGAAATTGTCTCCTAAGAGACAACATAATTAAAAGTGAGAAAGATGTCCTTCACCTACAAAAGGCATTTCTAGGAACAAAGAATATTCAATATAACTGCAAGAAGGAATTATAAAATAATTAAGGATAAATATACTTTTCACCAGGACACACGGAAGAATATAGCATATTAGTAAATGTCACTTGGAACACAGATATGCATAATCATTAAACAGCATTAGCAAATGTAAGCAAATGAGGAAGAAATGTAACAACCATATCACATAATGTTCTTATGTGTTTATTAGGAACAGCACAAAATATTAAGAAGAAATCTCATCCGCTCAGATAAGCAACATCTGAAACTCCTCTGTAATTATTTTTTAGTCTTTGAAAAGCATATAAAAGAAACTTGCCAATTTGTATTTAATAATATTAAAAACAGTTAAATGGATGTTGGATCATTTCTATTCTTTAACATTGAATAGAAAATGTATGTAGTATAACATATATCACACAAAAGTTTAAGTTTGTCCTTATTTAGAATAAAATTTCATGCAGAATGAAATATAATAAAGATAACGTCTTAGTTCCAAGTGTAAATATTGTTCCTTCTATTGTATCTCTGTTTTCCAGATTAATATTACTAATTCTTTTTGGGGGGTGGGGTGGAAGAGAGGGTCTCATTCTGTCATCCAGGCTGGTCTGCAGTGCCCTGACTCCAGTTCACTGGAGGCTGGAATTCCTGGGCTCAAGAGATCTTCCCACCTCACTCTCTGGAGTAGCAGGTATTACAGGCACACACCACGATGCTCAGCTTTTTTCTTTTATTTCTTTTTTTTCTTTTTTTTCTTTCTTTTTTTTTTTTGTAGAGACACAGTGTCTCACTATGTTGCCCAGGTTAATACTGCTAATCCTTTAAAAATGGATCAGTATGTGAACCTTTTATTCTGTGAAAATTACTATATGACAATGGTAATAGTGAATCTGTATATAAGAGAATATATAGGGACTGAAATGTGGCAACAAAATTGAGTAAAGATCTTTTTTTGGTTGTTGTTTTTGTTTTTGAGATGGAGTCTCCCTCTGTTGCCCAGGCTGGAGTGCAGTGGGCGATCTTGGCTCACCGCAACCTCCGCCTCCAGGGATCAAACAATTCTCCTACCTCAGCCTCCTGAGTAACTGGGATTACAGGCATGCGCCACCACACTCAGCTAATTTTTGTATTTTTAGTAGAGGCAGAGTTTCACTATGTTGGCCAGCCTGGCCTCGAACTCTTGAACTCAAGTGATGTGCCCGCCTTGGCCTCCCAAAGTGCTGGGATTACAGGCGTGAGCCACCGTGTGCCTGGCCAAATATGTCTTATTTCACTGATATTCGTTAACATGTTAAAATAACAAATTTAATACTAGTTTTGAAAGGAAGCTCTATTAACATATTAAGCAATGCTTCTCGGCCGGGCGTGGTGGCTCACATCTGTAATCCCAGCACTTTTGGAGGCCGAGGCGGGCGGATCACTTGAGTTCAGGAGATCAATATCATCTTGGTTAACATGGTGAAACCCCGTCTCTACTAAAAATACAAAAAATTAGCCGGGAGTGGTGGCAGGCGCTGGGAGTAGCAGTCCCAGCTACTCGGGAGGCTGAGGCAGGAGAATGGCGTGAATCCAGGGGTCGGAGCTTGCAGTGAGCCGAGATCGCGCCACTGCACTCCAGCCTGGGCGACAGAGCGAGACTCCGTCTCAAAACAACAACAACAACAACAACAACAACAACAACAACAACAACAACAACAACACAAAAAAAAACACGATGCTTCTCTCCCGAGCCTTCATAGTGCCCCATCCCCACCGTTTCCAATTCATTTGAATTTCTCCATTTTTAGCTAAGAATGTTTTTATCTGCCTTGAAAGGTAAACAATGTTGCCTTGGTAAAATAAAATATAAAAGACTTTCAAATATTGATTCCCATTTTTATTCCGGTTATTAGACCCAATATTAAAGAACAAAAATATGTGAAAGTAATTATGTAGTTTTATTGGCTTCCCACCCAATATGGGTGGTGCAGTTGGAGTAGGAGGTTTAACATGAATTGACGGATTGTCTACAAGGAGAGACTGCACATCTCTGCCAAGTTAGAAAACAGTAGTTGCTGACATCAGCGCTCTGCTTGGAAGAAAATAGTCAATGCAGGAGAAAATTCTGTCACTATTGGAGTGATAACTGTGCATTGTTTTTGGGGGTGTTGTTTTGTTTGTTTGTTTGTTTGTTTTTGAGATGGAGTCTCACTCTGTTGCCCTGGTTGGAGTGCAATGGTGCGATCTTGGCTCACTGCAACCTCTGTCTCTTGGGTTCAAGAGATTCTCCTGCCTCAGCTTCCTGAGTAGCTGGGGTTACAGAACTGTGAATTGTTTATATCTGGAAGTCACATAAATTATCATAAATGAAGACTTCCTACTGACATTATCCTGCATATTACCTACTGATGTTCCATCGGGATGATTAATTTTTGTTCTCCAAGAAGTTCCTCCTGCCTAACTGCTCTAGAAAACTTCCTCATCAAATGGCCCAAGACATGTGTAGGCCCTTGTATGTAAGGTGGGTCTCTAGAGACATTGAATGGTACTATTGGTTGGAAATGAAAATCTGCATCCTTTGAGGCAAGTTGAGAGTATCAGAAATCAACTCAAGAGCACCTATGGAACAGAGAAAACTACTTCCTTCAATACCCTCCTCCAACATATAATATAGAAATAGGGAAAACACACTTGCACTAGAAAAAGCTGCACACCAGAAATATCTTGCAACAATTACATGCAAAATACCTATTGGGCCACAATGAAAGTAGAGCAAACACATGACTTTTTTTCTAAATATACAGCAGCATTTCCAAGGCTTTAATAGATTAACACCTTTCTCTTAAAGGCAAGGTCTAGAAAACAGGCAGATAATGAGCCCTCTTAGATTTAGCTAGTGACTCTGGGCTCCCTCCCAGCTTACATTCTTCAGGTATACTGAGCTAGGCACAGAGTGAAAATACTTGATTTTGTAAATCTTTAAGGACTTCTATGTAAGGAAAATAGTTGATTCGCTTTTGGCCATTATATATGAGAAGGAAGGAGTAAAATAAGAACTTTTGCCAAAAGGCAAGTCTACCTGCTATGAACTGTCTATGAAGTAAGTATCAAAGCTTTCTGCCCTTCCTGGAGTTGCTGGAGAAAGTGTATGGAAATGTATGTGGAAAAATTTATCTAAAATCTTATCAGCAAACTATTGCCGTTGTTAAAATATTTAACATCCATCCAGATTTCTAAATGTATGTTCATATACGTATATCTTTTCACTAGAATCATAATAGAAACCTATTTTGGTATATTGTACTTGATATATTAATTATAAGGAATCTTAATCTAAGTAAATAAAAGTTGCGAAATTTACTCAAATATATAATTGAGAACACATATAATGAGGAAATACATTTTTATTTTTAAATTATTTCAAAAAAATGTTTCAGAGTCTAATGTTGTATTTATCTGTTCACTAAAATATCAAGGAAAAAAGAAATTTGTGGCAAAGGCTGTCTGCATCCTGCAAAAACTGCATTACCCACCACCCTACCATAGGTCACATGCAGATAATTCACTTATGGCTAGCTACTTCTTCCATCTTTCTCCCTACAGGTATTCCCTGATTTTAGGGTGGGAGAATACTTGGGACTCATTCAGGACAATTTGAGAATGCCAGTAAATAAGGTAGGAACAACAATCAATTAATGAGGCATAGAGGCTTTTGTATGAGTATCCAACATTCTCCCCTAGGTGTGAAAACTAAGTTATGTTTTACATAATCTTTCCACGCATCTGAAACAAGATTAAGTTCCAGTTGCCTACAGCAGTAATTTTGTCCATTTGTGGATTTTTTATTGGCTTTTCTTACTTCTCTGTCTCAATTTTTATACTCACATCCTATTTCCTGTGGTCACTAAACAAATAAATTACTTGTACCTAAGTTAAGTTTCACGTTTTCTATTGAGAAAACCAGAATTTACTTAGTTGGTACCATAAGTAGCCTTAGAAAGCAGACACTCAACATGGAACTTTGGATTTGGATTATTCATTAATCACAGTGTAACTGAGATCGCACTGCAAATGGCAAATGAGGTGGATTACTGTGATGCTTAATTTTTGTGTCAAGTTCACTGGGCCAAAGGCTACCCAGATGTTTGGTTAATCATCATTCTGGGTCAGTCTGTGAGGTTGTTTCTAAATGACATTAACCTTTAAATCAGTAGACAGAGCAAAACAGATTGTACTCTCCAATGTGGGTGGACCTCATCCAATACCCTGAAGACCTGAACAGGACAAAAATACTGAATGAGAGGGAATTCTCTCTTTCAGCATCACTGTCTTTGAGCTGGGAGAGCAGTCTTCTTCTGCCTTTGGACTTGGAATCAGATGGGAAGTTCTACCACTGACACTGTTGGTTGTCTTGCCTTCAGACTCAGGCTGGAACAACATCATCAGCTCTCCTGGTTCTCCAGCTTGCCAACTTCAGATCTTGGGACTTCTCAGGCTGTGTTATCACATAAGCCAATTTTCATAATTAATCTCTTTATATGTGTATAGTCATCCCTTGATATATGCTTGGGATTGGTACTAGGACCCGCATGGATACCAAAATCTATGTATACTCAAGTTCCACAGTTGACCCTACAGACCCCACGTATGTAAAAAATTGGCACTCTTATGTGAGAGCTTCTCATCCTGCAAATACTATATCTTTGATCCATGTTTGCTTGAAAAATAATTCATGTATAAGTGGATCCACACAGTTAAGACCCATGTTGTTTTATATAAATCTATAAAACAACCAGTCCTAAGATCTGCAGTTGGCAAGCTGAAGAAGCAAAAGAGTTGATGCTTTGGTAATATATATTATTATATATGTATAATATATTATATTAATTATATATATAATATGTAATCACATATATGATTATATACCTATTACATTATTATATATACAGATACATATAATCATATATATTACCAATCCTCATATGTGCATGAGTGCGTGTGTGTGTGTGTGTGTGTGTGTGTGTGTGTGTGTGTTCTGTTTCTCTAGAGAACGCTGACTAATATAGTTTTTCTGGCTTCCTTCAGTATTCCAATTACTAATGGTGCTTTAGGCTATAATATGAGTAGAAGGGCACAGCACTAGTTTGTGCAACAGCTCTAGCAATTGAAAGATATAAAGGCAATGGTAACCATAAGACTTGTGTCACTTGTCTCATTAACTGCCAAAGGAGCTTTAAAAAAAACTGATAGACTTATCTCAGCCAACTATTGTCTTAGAATAAAGACACTGTGACCGACAGAAGGTTTACATGATGACACTTAATGGCACCCTGTCTCTTGCAGTTGGAAAGAAAGTTTCACAGAAAATTAGACCTACTAATCATAAGAATGATTCTCCTTAAGAATCTCCCTTTATCATAGGAATAGAAGAAAGGGAAACAAGAAATTAAGTAAGAAAGTGAAAGAGAGAATTAGGGAAAGCCAATGAAAGATGCTTTATTAACAAGTTGCTGCTCTAGGCAGCTGTCTTTAAAATATCATAGACTTAGAAGCAGTGAGACTCTTAATCCTGGTATAGACATTTACATGGATATATCTGAAATTCTTAAACCAGCAGATTCCCCTGAAGCACCTGGGTTGGCAGCAGTAGGTACCTTTGCTTTTGCTAGAGAAGTGTAGCTTCCCATTGCTGATTAATAAGTAAAGGCATAACCTGAGATAGATGTCCTTTTTTACGTTCCTTGTTCTCCTCAGGATCAGTTCTGACTTCCCTTCAATATCTACTATCATGAGTCAAGTGAAGAAATACTCTCTTTGCAATTGTATGAAAGTAATTATTTACTTGAAACATGGCAGAACCTACCAAATAAATAACATCAGAAACTTGGAGGACATATAAAGTGGTGGAGCTTGACATTGCAAGACAAAGGAATGAGTCAAACATATTAGTTGTTTATTAAAATGTGAGCATTCTCTTTTGATTTGCTAACAGAGATGCCTGAAGTTAGCCTTATACTCTGGTATAATGGTTCATTGAATTTAGGAAATGATGTTGGCCTACAATAAATAAAATAAGGATGCTAAACTATCTTGACAACATTTTGAAGAAGGACTGAAAAAGCTCGGAAAAGAATGGGCCAGGCTGGTATGTAATATTAGTGAACACACCAGTTGACTATGTTCCACAGGAAGGAGAAAAGACTCTCCCTTTACGATAGTGATAAGAAATGCCTTAGTGATCAGGACAATACTATCATTGAGAATTTCAGTAGTGTCTGTCTTCTGCAGGGTGGGGTTAATGGTTGAAGACACAACCATTGAACAGGGCTTCTTAGTGTAAATGGGAATAATAGAATTGAAGAACTATGGAGACCAGGATTCAGTACCTAACTATCAGAGAACAGGTGGATGAAATTATCATTATGGACACCAAACCTGGATTGGCAACCAGTAGGATTGGAGTTATATAGATATATGTCAATAGTAATAATGTATACAATGAAAAATCCACAAGGAAAAAAGGCTGATGTCAGTTACAAATTAGAATATCATTTACCCTCACCTAGTTTTCACCACTGAATCATTTATTGGAACCAGAATCCATGATCAGGTTCTTTTAAGGAAAAACCCTGAATCATCTTAGCAGGCCTATGTATATAATTACTTTCCAAAACCACCTCCAGAGATGTCCTAAAGCTATTATAATTAAGGATAGTTGCACCAGGTCTTTGAAGAATGTTTAAATACCAGGGCTGAGATGACACTGATACCAGGGTACACAAAAATGCCATTAAAATATCTATTATAATTGGAATTTTCAGGGATTGGCTGATAAATAGCTTTCTGGACCACCTTTCTCTTACATTACTCTAACGCGTTCATTAAACTACCCTGTGTTCATTGCCCTGATCATCAAGACATAACTAAAATGGATGTACCTAGCAAGTTACAGAAATTGCATTGGTTTGCTGAAATGTGGAATAAGATCAATTATGGTAGGGAAGACCAAGCAAAAGTTCCTGTATTAGGCAGCAGTTTTCAAAGACACAGAATCAATAGGATGCATACACACATAAACACACACACACAGACACACACACACACACAGAGGGATAGAGACAGAGAGAGAGAGACAAAGAGAGATAAATAAAGAAATTTATTGTGAGAATTGGCTCACACAATTATGGAATGTAAGAAGTCCCATGATATGTCATCTGTACTCTGGAGAACCAGGAAAGCCAGTGGTGTAATTCAATGAGTCTGAAGACTGAGAACCAGGAGAGTCAATGGTGTAAGTCCTGGCATCCAAAGGCTCAAAAACCTGGAGCTCCTCAGGGGAAGAAAAGATCGATATTGCTGTTATAGAAGAGAAAGTAAATTCGCCTTTCCTCTGCCATTTTGTTCTATTCCAGCCTTCAAAGATTGCATGATGCCTGCCCACACTGGTAAGGGAAGATGATCTTGACTCAGTTTACTGATTCAAATGCTAAGTTCCTCCAAAATCAATCTCACACCTTTCTGGGTATCCCATAAGCCAGTCAAGGAAAATTTATATACATAAGTGATGAAACATAAAATGAGATTGGAAACGGTAAAATAAAACATAAATGGTTAACATAAAATTAACCATCACATTCTCTAATAAAAGCTGTCTACCCAGTAATGAAAATAGAAAATCAGCAACAAATAAGATGGCAGCGATAATAACATTCTCAAAAATAAAAAGGGTGTAGGAGTCGAAGTCCCTATCACATCCTCATTTAATTTACTGGAATGACACATGCAAAAATTTGGATCTGGGTGATGATGGGGGAAATCATGTAAATCTAAGCAACTGATAATTCCTAATGCATCTGCTGTGTATTTATATTATGTAGTATAGTATGTAGTATCTTTATTTTAAAAACTCAACTCAGCTTCTACTCTTGGTTTTGCAAATATGATCTGACAAATATCACTTTCTATCTCCTTCATGAAAACAGATAAAAGATATTTTCATTTACCAGGGATAGACCACAGAACACATTTGTTGTCTTGCCCAGGGCTATGATTGTTATTTTGTTATAATATGACCTGAGGTAAACTTAATAGTCTTAAAATTACAAAGACCAAAATATTGATCACTATATTGATAATATCAGATTAATCAGCCGTAGTGAGCAAGAAATGTCATTTTCTGATACTCTTGTACAGGAATGTAAACAATAAAACAGAATCTGAAACATAAAGCCTACAGTCTCAAGGGCCTTTCACTGGTAAATATTTTAGCATTGCAGTTGTCTTCAGTAATTCAGGATACCTTCCATGGTAGAGGACAAGATGGTAAATTATTGCATTTTGTACCAGCTGACATATAAAAGCATCACAGTGTTTGTTACGGTTCTCTGGATTTTGGGCATTATAAAAACACCACACTTGGGAATGCTGCATCAGTCCATTTGTCCCATTTTTTAATGGCTTTCAGCACAAGCAAAGGCTTTTGTTCTTGTGAACCTGCAGAATTAAAAGAGCTCATCATAAATGAGGAGGTTAAATAGAATCTCTGGCAAGCCCCATAAGAAAGTTTTAAGTGACATCTAAATATATATATATATGTAATAAAAAAATAAAATGGACTAGAAAAGGGTAAAAGTGCCTCAAAGTTTCTTACTCTGTATAAAAATAAATACTATTAATAGTTTTATACAGCCTTTAATTATAATAAGTAGTATTATAAAAATTGTGAATAATACATATACATATTCTTCCTTCCCCATAAGATACTTTATCTTATATATAAAATACACCTATTTTCATTTTCCTATTTGTGTCTAGAGAACAATTTAAAAATATGGTCTGCATTTATTTTACTTCAGTGATCTTTGCTGAAAAAGTTTCAATTGATTTTACAGGGTATTGGATATTTATACAACCTGAAAGAATCATAGAATTTAAGAACTGGAAGAAAACTTGGATATTACTGTTTTATGTCATAAAATAGGGCCTAGGTCAAATAAAAATAACTAACATTTCTTGATCATTTACTATTTGTTAGAAACTTTGCTACAATTAATTCTCACATCAAACCCATGACCCAGGTAATAGTTTAATCTTGTTTATTTTTTGCACTAAATCGATGGTATAGATGCTATTAATATTAGCAACCAGCAGTTTTCGACAGGGATGATTTTGCCCCTCAAGGTAAACCTGGACGTTTCTGGTTGTCACAATGATGGGGTAAGGGAAAGTGGCGTCTAGTGGATAAAGACCCGAGATGCTGATAAGGAAAGAATGGGATAACTTCCTGAAGCAAAGAAATGTCCAGGCCAAAATCTCAATGTATCGAGGCTGAGAAAGATTATTATAGAAGAAGAAACTGGATCTTTGAAAATTTATCTTTGCCTAAGACTATTAAGCAAACAATGACAACCTAATAGTTTGTGGGAAAAACTTTGGGGTTAAAACATAATAATAATAAATAATAATAATAATCTAGATATTAATTTTCAAGTGACTCGTGGAAAAAAACCTTAAATATCTAAAGTAAGGTTTATCCTATTTTTCTGACCCCCTTTCTTTGCTCTATGATATTTTGGTTCAGTTATATATTCTTTTTATTTAAACTTAAATAATTAATTTTCTCAATCTTTTCCAAATTAGATTCCATGAAAGTCTTCTCATACTGGAATTAGCAAATATTTGAAGACTCTTCTTACATGTTTGATTTGAGCACGGCTTAAGCATAGTGTATATTTTCATGTTATCATACTTTACTCTTTCTTATCTGAAAGTATATGATTTTTTTAAAATAACCTAAATTATGCATATTTTTTATATTTATTACCTATGTGCTATGTTATTGATTTTTATTTTGATCTATCTTCTCTACTAATATTGTTGTCTTGATTTTTATATCCCAACATATATTACATTTCATATCAAAAATACTTTGTGTTCCAGGATTATTGCTTCTCCTATGGTAAAGCAATAGTATATTAAGGATATCAACTATCTGTCAAATCTTACATATATTTCAACTTTGTTTAACATTTGAAGACATTTCTATATTTGTTTTTCATTAACGACTCTTCATTATTTATAGTAAATGTCAGTATCCAGGTGCTCAATGAGTATCAATAGTTGGAGACTGATCTGGAGCTCATGGGATTTAGTTTATAAGTAACTTTTGTCCAGAGATCCCAAAACTGAGGGAAGGGTACAGATTGCCCTCTACTGTAATACAGAGTAAAATATTGGGTGTAGAGTGAAATCGTTCTGCCAGACATGTCCAATCTTTCTATAGAATGTTGGGACTTTATAAAAAAATGTTTAAATTGACATAACTTCAGATGACATATCTAGTACTATAATGAGCTTATAATTTAATGGAAGTAAAACATTAACATTAAAATGTTGTAAGGTATATTGCACTCAGGGTGCTACCAGAGAGAAACATGCAAATGCACTAGATAGAGGTGGATAGGATTGTAGTACAGTCATCCCTCAGTATCTGTGGGAATCAGTTCCAGAAGCTCCCAGAGATACCGAAAGCCATGGATGCTCAAGTCTCTAATATAAAATAATATACACATATAAACTATGCACATACTTTTATGCACTTTAAATCATCCCTAGACTATTTGTAATACCTAGTAAAATGAAAATGCTATATAAATACTTGTTATCTTGTATTGTTTAAGTAATAATGGCAAGGGAAAAAAGTCTGTACATATTAAATATTAACACAATTTATTTCTAAATATTTTTTATCTATGGTTGGCTAAATCCATTGATGTGAAACCCACAGATATGAAGGGGATTTGAAACCGATAAATTAAAGTATTATTGTTTATTTTAAATTTAAAATATAACTGTTACTTCATATTAGGAGTGTATTAATAATAAATGTTTATTGCAGAATAAAATAAAGACAAATAAGTAGTTATTTAGATAGCTATATCAATATTTTTGCAAACACACTTGTATTTTTTTTTGCAAAAATTGAGACTATACAGAATAATTGGATTTAATTCTTATTAATTCATTTATAATTTTATGAGGAAGATGCTTTTGTTCACTCAACATTTTTCAAAATACATTTTAATGGTTACATAACATTTGATGTAATTCTACCATATTAATGTACTATATATTTAGCCTTTTCTTCATTATTAGGTATTTACATTACTTTGAATTATTTTCTTCTAAAATTTTATAAATGTCTTCACTCAGAAGTTTTTTTTAATGTATGTAGATTGGAATTACTGGGCAAATATCTTCAAACTTTCTAATTTATTAAGTATTTTTCCATCGTGAGATTTTAACAAGTATTTGTCTTTGAGTTATTTGATTTTTATTTGATTACAGTTAACTGTTGTGTCCATCTGGAAATTATTTTTATATTAAATGTAAGTTCAAATTATAACTTGACATATTTCAAATATATAATTGATCTTTAAGTAATATTTAATAGTTCTTCATTCACTGATCCAAATGACACTTAAAAAAGAAGTTTAATAAAAGTTTACTCTATTATCATGATTTTTATTTAATAGTTTTTTAAACCAGATTTTCATTTCCTAGAAGGGCACTCATTTTTTTTTTGTTACCTCTGTTCCCCCCTTATTTTTCAATCCTTTCTTTTTAAATTTCAACTTTTTTTTATATTCCAGGGGTACATGTGCAGGTTTGTTACAAAGACATATCGTGTGATGCTCAGGTTTGGAGTATGATCGAACCCACCCCCCCAGGAAGTGAGCTTTGTACCCAATAAGTAGTTTTTCAATCTCTCCTCTTGTATTCCCCAGTATCAGTTGTCCCATCTTTATAACCACGTATAACCAATGTTTAGTTCCCACTTATAAGTGAGAACACATGGTATTTGGTTTTCTGTTTCTGCTTTAGTTCACTTAGAATAATGGCCTCTGGCTGCACCCGTGTTGCTACAAATAACACAGTTTTGTTCTTCTTTATGGCTGTATAGTATTACATGTTGTGTAGGTACCACATTTTGTTTATCCAATCCACTGCTGATGGGCACTTGGTTTGGTTCCATGTCTTTGCTATTGTGACTAGTGTTGCAATGAATATATATGGGTGCATGTATCTTTTTGGTGGAACAATCTATTTTCCTTTGGGTATATATCCAGTAATAGGATTGCTGGGTCACATGGTAGTTCAGCTTTTAGTTCTTTAAGAAATCTGCAAACTGTTTTCTACAGTGACTGAACTAATTCACATTCCCCCCAACAGTGTACAAGAATTTCCTTTTCTCCACAGCCCCATCGACAGCTGTAATTTTTTGACTTTTTAACCGAAAGCCATTCTGACTGGTATGAGATTGTATCTCATTATGGTTTTGATTTGCATTTCCCTGATGATTAGAGATGATTAGCATCTTTTTATATGTTTGATGGCTGTTTGTCTGTCTTCTTTTCAATAGTGTCTGTTCATGTTCTTTGGCCATTTTTTAATGGGGTTATTGATTTTTTTGCTTGTTGACTTAAGTTCCTTATAAATTGTGGATATTAGTCCTTTGTTGGATGCATAGTTTGTGAATATTTCTCCCATTCAGTGGGTTGTCTGTTGTATTAGTCTGTTCTCACACTGTTAATAAGTACATCCAAGACAGTAATTTTTAAAGGAAAGAGGTTTAATTGACTCACAGTTCCACATGGCTGGGGAGGCCTCACAATCAAGGCAGTAGGCAAAGGAGAAGCAAAGCCATGTCTTCCATGGTGGCAGGCAAGAGAGCTTGTACAGGGGAACTGCCCATTATAAAACCATCAGATCTCCTGAGACTTACTCACTATCATGAGAACAGCATGGGAAAAACCCACCCCCATGATTCAATTACCTCCCAACAAGTCCCTCCCACAACACATGGACATTATGGGAGTTACAATTCAAGATAAGATTTGGGTGGGGACCCAGTCAAACACTATCTTTCTGCCCCTGGCCCCTCCCAAATCTCATGTCCTTACATTTTGAAACATAATCATGTCCTTCCAACAATCCCCTAAAGTCTTAACTCATTTCAGCATTGACTCAAAAGTCCACAGTCCAAAGTCTAATCTGAGGCAAGGCAAGTTTCTTCTGCCTATGAGCCTATAAAATTAAAAGCAAGTTACTTACTTCCTAGATACAATGGGGCTATAGGCATTGGATAAATATACCCATTCTAAGTGGGAGAAATTGACCAAAGCAAAGGGGTCACAGGCCTCATGCAAGTCTGAAATCCAGGAGGGCAGTCAGTTCTTGAAGCTCCAAAATTATCTTCTTTGACCCCATGTCTCACATCCAGATCACTCTGATGCAAGAGGTGGGCTCCCAAGACTTTGGCAACTCTGCCCTTGTGGCTTTGCAGGACACAGACCCCCTCCTGGGTTGAGTTTCTGCAGCTTTTCCAGGAACACAGTGGAAGCTGTCAGTAGATCTACCATTCTAGGGTCTGGAGGAGGGTGGCCTTCTTCCCGCACCTCCACTAGGGAGTACCACAGTGGGGACTGTGTGGGGGTTCTGACCCCACATTTCCCTTCTGCAGTGCCCTAGCAGAGGTTCTCTATGAGGGCTCCACCCCTACAACAGACTTCTGCCTGACCATTTAGGGCATTTTCATACATCATCTGAAATCTAGGTGGAGGTTTCCAAACCTCAATTCTTGTCTTCTATGCACCGACAGGACCAACACCACATGGAAGCTGCCAAGGCTTGGGGTTTGCACCTTCTGAAGCCACAGATGGAGCAGCTTGGATGAAGGGCACTATGTCACAAGGCTGCACACAGCAAGGAGGCCCTGGACCTAGCGCGGGTAACCATTTTTCCCGCCTGGGCCTCTGAGTCTCTGATGGGAGGGCTGCTGCAAAGGTCTCCGACATGCCCTGGAAATGTTTCCCCATTTTCTTGGTGATTAACATTTGGCTCCTCATTACTTATGCAAATTTCTGCAGCCAGCTTGCATTTCTCCCCAGAAAATAGGGTTTTCTATTCTATCACATCATTAGGCTTAAATTTTCCAAACTTTTATGCCCTGCTTACTCTTGAACGCTTTGCTGCTTAGAAATTCCTTCCACCAGATGCCCTAATTCATCTTTCTCAAGTTCAAAGTTCCACAGACCTCTAGGGCAGTGGTGCAATGTTGCCAATTTCTTTGCATAGCAAGAGTGACCTTTACTCCAGTTCCCAACAAGTTCCTCATCTCCATCTGAGACCACCTCAGCCTGGACTTTATTATCCCTATCACCATCAGCATTTGGGTCAAAGTCATTCAACAAACCTCTGGGAAGTTCCAAACTTTCCCACATTTCCCTATCTTCTTCTGAGTCCTCTAAACTCTTCCACCCTCTGCCTGTTACCCAGTTCCAAAGTCGCTTCCACATTTTCAGGTATCTTTACTGCAGCACTCCACTCTACCGGTACCAATTTACTGTATTAGTCTGTTCTCATGCTGCTAGTAAAGACATACTGAGACTGGGTAATTTATACAGGAAAGGTTTAATTGACTCACAGTTCCACATGACTGGGGAGGCCTCACAATCATGGCAGGGGGCAAAGAAGAAGCAAAGGCATGTCTTACATGGCAACAGGCAAGAGTTTGTGCAGGGGAACCGCTGGTTATAAAACAATAACAATTAAAACAATTTCATGAGACTTATTCACCATCATGAGAATAGCGTGGGAAAAACCCACCCCCATGATTCAATTATCTCTCACCAGGTTCCTCCCATAACACGTGGGGATTATGAGAGCTACAATTCAAAATGAGATTTGGGTGGGGACATAGCCAAACCATATCATCTGTTTATCCCATCAGTAGTTTCTCTTGCTGTGCACAGGGTCTTTAGTTTAACTAGGTCCCACTCACCAATTTTTGGTTTTGTTACAATTGATTCATGGACTTAGCCATAAATTCTTTGACAAGGCTGATACTGAGAAGAATATTTTCTAGGTTTTCTTCTAGAATTGTACAGCTTGAAGTCTTACATGTACATGTTTAATCCATCTTGAGTTAATTTTTTTACGTGGTCAAAGGTAGGGATCCAGTTTCATTCTTCTGTATAGGGGTAGCCAGTAACATTTATTTAATAGGGAGTCTTTCCCCATTGCTTGTTTCTGTCAACTTCATTGGAGATCAGATGGTTGTAGATGTGTGGCTGTATTTCTGGGTTTTCTATTGTGTTCTTTTGGTCTATATTTTCATATTGGTATTAGTACCATGCTATTTTGGTTACTATAGCATTGTAGTATAGCTTGAAATCAGATAATGTGATGTCTCTGGCTTGTTCTTTTTGCTTAGGATTGCTTTGGCTATTTAGTCTCTTTTTTGGTTCCATGTGAATATTAGAATACTTTGTTCTAATTCTGTGAAAAATTACATTGGTAGTTTGATAGGAATGGCGTTGAATCTGTAGATTGCTCTGGGCAGTATGGCCACTTTAGCAGTATCAATTCTTCCAATTCATGAGCATGCAATATTTTTTCTATTTGTGTCAGCTCTGATTTAGTTCAACAGTATTTTCTAGTTCTCCTTGTAGAGAACTTTTGCCTCCTTAGTTAGATGTATCCCTGGGTATTTTCTTATGTGTGGTTATTATGAATGGGATTGCTTTCTTAATTGTGCTCTCAGCTTGAACATTATTGGCATATAGAAATGCTACTGAGTTTTGTACATTGATTTTATATACTAAGACTTTATTGAAGTCATTTATCAGTTCAAGGAGACTTTTGGCAGACTCTTCAGGGTTTTCTAGGTATAGAATAATATATTCAGCAAAGAAAGACAGCTTGGCTTTTTTTTTTTCTGATTTGGATGCCTATTAAGTCTTTTTCTTGCCTGATTGCTCTGGCCAGGACTTCCAGTACTGTGTTGAATAGGATGGTAAGAGTGGATATCTGTGTTTTGTTTCAGTACTCAAGGGAAATGTTTCCAGATTTTGCCAATTCGTCATAGTGTTGGCTGAGGGATTGTCATAGATGGTTCTCATTATGTTGAGGTATGACTTTTTTTTTTGTAGCTTTTATTTTAAGTTCAAGTGTACAAATGCAGGTTTGTTACATAGGTAAACTTTTGTCATGGGTGTTTGTTGTACAGATTATTTCATTACCCAGCTATTAGGCCTAGTATCCATTAGTTATTTTTCCTGATCCTCTCCCTCCTCACACCTTTCAACCTCCAAAAGGCCCAGTGTGTGTTGTTCCACTCTATGTGTCCTTGTGTTCTCATCATTTTGCTCCCACTTGTAAGTTAGAACATGCAGTATGTAGTGTTTTATTCCTGTGTTAGTTTGCTAAGGGTAATGGCCACCAGGTCCATCTGTGTCCCTGCAAAGGTCATGATCTCATTCTTTTTTTAAGGCTGCATAGAATTTCCTGGTATATATGTACCATATTTTCTTTATCAAGCCTATCATTGATGGGCGTTTAGGTTGATTGCATGTCTTCGCAATTGTGAATAGTGCTGCAATGAACATAGGCATGCAAGTATCTTTATAATAGAATGATTTATATTCCTTTGGGTACATACCCAGTAATGGAATTGCTGGATTGAACGGTATTTCTGTCTTTAGGTCTTTGAGGAATTGCCACTGTCTCCCACAATGGCTGAACTAATTTATACTCCCACCAACAGTACGTAAGCACTCTTTTTTCTCCACAACCTCACCAGCATCTGTTTTTTTGACTTTTTAATAACAGCCATTCTGAGTGATATTAAATGGTATCTCATTGTAGTTTTGCATTGCATTTCTCTAATGATCAGTGATGTTGAACTTCTTTTTGTAATTGTTGGCTGCATGTATGTCTTCTTTTGAAAAGCATCTGTTCATGTCCTTTGCCCATTTTTTAATTGAATTATTTGTGGGGTTTTTTCTTGTAAATTTGTCTAAGTTCCTTAATGATGATGGATATTAGACATTTGTTGATGCATAGTTTGTGAATATTTTCTCATGAACTGTAGGTTGTCTGTTTACTCTGTTGATAGTTTCTTTTGCTGTGCAGAAGCCCTTTAGTTTACTTTGATCCCATTTGTCAATTTCTGTTTTTTTTGTAGTTGCTTTTGATGTCTTCATCATGAAATTGCCCATGCCTATGTCCTGAATGTAACTGCATAGGTTGTCTTCCAAGGATTTTATAATTTTGGGTTTTACATTTAACTCTTTAATCCATCTTGAGTTGATTTTTTATAAGGGGTCCAGTTTCAAACTTCTGCATATGGCTAGCCAGTTATCCCAGCACCACTTACTGAGTAAGGAATCCTTTTCTTATTGCTTGTTTTTGTCAGGTTTAGCAAAGATCAGATAATTGTAGGTGTATGGTTTTTGCTTAGGATTGCCTTGTCTATTTGAGCAACTTTTTGGTTTCATATTAATTTTAAAATAGTTTTTCTAGTTCTATAAAAATGTAAATTATAGTTTAATAAAAATAGCATTGAATCTATTAATTGCTTTGGGGAATATGGACATTTTAACAACATCAATTCTTCCTATCCATATGCATGAAATGTTTTTCCATTTCTTTGTGTCATCTCTGATTTCTTTGAATAGTAACTTGTAGTTCCATTTCTTTGATACCTACTTTTCCGAGAATTTGTATCAAAAGAGATGTTGGGTTTTATTGAAAACTTTTTCTGCATCTATTGAGATTATCATTTGGTTTTTGTTTTAATTCTTTTTAGGTGGTGAATCACCTGTATTGATTTGTGTATGTAGAACCAACCCTGAATCCCAGGAATAAAATCTACTTGATTGTGTTGGATTAACTTTTTGATGTGCAGCTGGATTTGGTTGGCTAGTATTTTGCTAAGGATTTTTGCATGTATGTTCATCAGTGATATACCACCAGCTAGATTAACAAATAAAAAGAGAGAGAAGATTCAAATAAGCACAATCAGAAATGATGAACATGACATTACAACTGATACCATAGAAATAGAAATGATCCTCAGTGACTATTATGAACATTTCTATGGACACAAACTAGAAATTCTAGAGGAAACGGACAAAGTCCTGAACATATACAGCCTTACAAAATTGGACTAGAATAAATTGAAGCTCTGAACAGACCAATAATGAGTTCCAAAATTGAATCAGTAATAAAAAAACCTCCTAACCTAAAAAAGCCCTCAATCAGAAAGATTCATGGCCGAATTCTACCAAATGTCCACAGAGCTGATGCTAAGCCTACAGAAACTATTACAAAACATCAAAAGGGAATCCTCCCTAACTCATCCTGCAAAGCCAGCATTATCATGATACCAAAACCTGGCAGAGACACGATGAGAAAAAGAAAACTACAAGTCTTACTACTTTTATTCTTCAAAAATTTCTGTATAGTTCTTACACAGTTCTGTATCAGAATGCTTAGGAGTATCATTAACAAGTTCTTTCGTAAATAGAAGTTAGGTTTTAATTGAGTTTGCATTACAAATCTATACTTTAAATGAGGAAACTTTGTATCTTTACAATTTTATTTTCCCTACACAGAAATATTTATTCAATAAATTATTCATTAATGCATCACATAAAGTTTTATGTGCTCCTTCACATAAAGCTTGAATTTCTTACAATTACTCACTGAACTGCATGATCTTAAATATATACTGTGCTAGGACTTGATCTTAAAAAAATACCACACATTTAATCATCACTACAATATCTTGGTGCCTATTGAAAACACCAGAAACATTGACAGAGATATTGAGAGGTTTCTGGAAGCACCTAAGGTCATAGAGCTAGGATGTGATAGAACCACTATGTTATATCTTTAATAAAAGTATACACTATATAAATATATAATATGTATATTTATATGTAATCCATGAATATATAGTTAAAATGTATATATGAATATATTTTAATGTTTTAGTTATTTGTGAGTAAATATAAATATATATATATTTTATACAAACAAGGACACATACACTCACACACAAACATGCTTTCAATTGGTTATTGTTGGTGTATATGAAAACTGTTATTTATTTGTTCTCTTTTATACCACTGCTATAGATTGAATTGTGTTCCCAAAAATGATATCTTGAAGTCCTAACCCTCAGTACCTGTGAATATGAGCTTATTTGGAAATAAAGTCTTTGTGAATATAATTGAGATCAGTTTAGTTTGGGCTAAACCCTAACCCAATATGACTGCTGCTTTTATAAGACAAAGCAGTGACACAGGGAGAAGAATGCCATGTGAATACACAGAGATACATAGATACAGAAGGAAGATGACCATGTGAAGGTGAAAGCGGAGATTGGAATTATGTTGTCAGTTATACGACATTCTTCAAAATGCAAAATTGTAGAGATGATAAAAAGGTCAGTGACTGCCAGTGGTTCAGGAGGAGGACTAGCCAAGATCAGTTTAGGTTGGGCTAAACCCTAACTCAATATGACTGGGGTTACTAGATACTACAAGAGGCAAGGAAGGATCTTCCTCTAGAGACTTCAGAGAAAGCACAGCCCTACCCAAACTTTTGTTTTGAGCTTTTAGCTTCCAGAACCATGAGACGATAAATTTCTGTTGTTTTAAGCTGCTTAATTTGTTGTAATTTATTACACAAGCCCTAGGAAATCAATACAACCACATAATCCTCATATCAGTTCTAATAATTTCCAATAGATTTTAGTCTATTTAGACAACTCCATTTTCTGTGAAACAGTTGAAATTTATTGTCTAATTTTTAATATCTGTGTCTGGGTGAATTAACTCATACTTCAACCACAAACTTTGAGTATTGCAGTGATAATGCATATACCTCTTTTGGTCTTCACTATAATGAGTCTCCTATAGTGTTGCACAGGCTGTTTATTTGTTTTTAATTATTTTTAGAATCTTAAAATATGATTATATTACTAGGCCATACAAAATTTTAAGGGCTGTTTTCAATTTGATCATGGCTTTTTTAGCATCTATTCAAATGATAGTTCTTTCTCTTTTACGTTACATATTTTATTATATCAATATATTTTTATTGAGTCATTATTCTTGTAATCCTAGGATAAACCTTTAAAAATAATTACGGAATAGTTTTATAATATAATAAACAATTTAATTTGATAGAGTTTATATGTGATTTCTAAAACTATAAGAATCACTTTTTTAAAAAATAGATTTGACTGTATAGGACTGTTTTAGATTCTGTTTTAGATTCTTTAGTTTTAGAAAACTGAGGAAGTAGTAGAGAGTTCTGATGTACCCTTAACTCATTTCTCCTATTAGTAACATTTTAGCATAGTATATTTGTTCAGATTGATAAAACACTGCTGACGAATTATTATTAAAGCCATATTTCATTCAGATTTCATTAGTTTTGACCTAATGTCATGTTTTGTACCAGGATCTTGTCTAAGATACAAGATTGTATTTTGTTATATCTCTTTAGCCTTACCTTGGTCATGACAGTTTCTCAGAATTTTCATGTTTTTGATGATCTTGCTAGTTTGGAGTACTGCTCAGGATACTTTATTAAATGTAATTCAACTGGGATTTGTCTGATTTTGTGTGTGTGTGTGTGTGTGTGTGTGTGTGTGTGTGTGTGTGATCAGATGGGAGTTAAGAGTTTTAGGAAGGAAGATTGTAGTTTCTACACAGTAAATGTATCATTTTTTCCCATCTTTCCATCCTGTACTTTTTGGAAGGAAGCATTTGAACAATATGATTAACTGTTCATGATGTAAAATTCTATGCGTTTTGAAAAATGTATCATGTCATGTATCCAGAATTAGAGTTTCAAACAGAAAAATTTCATTGTACTAGATTTCATCTGTGCTTCACCCATTCAAACCGCTAGTCCTCCCCCTGAACCACTGGCAGTCACTGACCTTTTTATCATCTGTACAATTTTGCATTTTGAAGAACGTCATATAACTGAAGTCATATGGTATGTAGGCTATTTATTGTAGCATCTTTGTCTTAGTAATGTAACTTTCAGATCCATCTATTTCTCTTTGTTGACTGATAACTCATTTTATCACTGAATAATATCCCCTCACCTTTTGAAGATAAAGTTTGCTTCATTGATTTCTTCCAGTTTTGACATATGTGAGTAAAGCTACGATAAAATTCTTGGTGCTATTTTTGTGTAGGCATAAATTTTCACATCATTTGAGTAAATTACTAGGAGCCCAATTGCTGGATCACAGGTAAGACTACGTTCTTTGTAATAAACTTCCAAACCAGTACATTTTGAATTCCCACCAGCAATGAATGAAGGTTCCTGTTGCTTTGCATGCTCACCAGCAATCTATGTTAGAATTTTTTTTTTACTTTTTTGGATTTTAGCCATTGTAATCAGAATGTGGTAATACTTCATTGTTGTTTTAATTTGCAATTCCCTGATGACAAATAATATTGAGTATTTTTATATGCATATTTGCCATCTGTACATTCTATTTTTGAGGTGTCTGTTCAGATGATTTGCACTTTTGGAGGGTGAGATTCTTTTATTATTTCTGAATTTTAATAATATTTGTGAATTTGGATACAAAACCTTTATGAAATATGTTTTCTCCTAGTCTATGGTATTTCTTTTCGTTCTCTTAATAGTGCATTTTGCAGAGAAGACTTTTTAATTTTTAATTAAGTCAACTTATGAATTTTTTCTTTCTTGGATCATGCTTTTGGTGTTATATGTAAAAACTCGTCACCTAACTCAGGTCACCTGTATTTTTCTTGTTATCCTTTAGAAGTGTTATATTATTGCACTGTGTTTTCCATTTAAGTCTATGATCCATTTTTAGTTAATTTTTGTGAAAAGTGTGAGGACTAATCTAGATTCCTTTTGTTTGTTAGTTTGTTTCATAAATGTCAAATTTGTCTAGCACCATTGGTTGAAAAGGCTATCTTTTTTCCCCACAACTTGCTTTGTTCCTTTAGTCAAAGAAAAGTTGACTATATTTGTAAGGGTCTGTTTTTAAGCTAGTATTTTCTATTGATTTACCTATTCCTTTAACAATATCATGCTGCCTTTTTTACAGCTTCATTGTAGCTTTAACTAAAGTTGCTTAGTTTGAGTTCTCCAACTTT
This sequence comes from Homo sapiens, assembly GCF_000001405.40. Classification (NCBI taxonomy): domain Eukaryota; kingdom Metazoa; phylum Chordata; class Mammalia; order Primates; family Hominidae; genus Homo; species Homo sapiens. The sequence goes on along the minus strand of NC_000005.10, from coordinate 84,913,062 downwards.
GTTCTTTCATATTGTCTTGGCTGTTCTAGATCTTTTTTCTTTCCATACAAACTTTAAGATTAGTTTGTCAATGTTTAGAAAAATAGCATTTTAGGATTTTGGCTAAGATTGAGTTTACCTATTGATTAATTTGGAAAGAACTGACATTCTTACAACATTGAGTTTTCTAATCCATGAAAATGAAATTTGTCTCCATTTATTTAGATATGCTTTTACTTCTTTTATAAAGATTTTACAGCTTTCTATGTATAGATCCTATATATATATTGTTATATTTATACCTAAGTATTTAATTGTTTATATCATAAATAATATTTTTAATTCAAATTGCAATTGTTCATTGCTGACATAGCATTCTTTTGTATATTTTTATACCTTTGTATATTGTTATCCTGGGACTTTAATACATTAATTCATTACTTGCAGAAAATATTTTTTCAGTTCTTTTGGATGTCGTACATAGGTAATGTTGTCATCTGTGAACAAAGATAGCTTTATTTCTTCTTTCCCGATCACATACCTTCTATTCCCTTTTCTTGTCTTACTGTACTAACTAGAACTTCCAGTACAATGTTGAATGTTGTAGGAAGTGAAGTAGTTGTTGCCTTGTTGCTGATCTTAAGGATAAATTATCTAGGCTGACGTTAGCTGCAGGAATTTTTGTACATATTCTTTACACAATTGATACACTTCCCTCTATTTCTGATTTGCAAAAGTTTTAACCATTAATGGGATGTTAAATTCTGTCAAATGCTTTTTCTGCATTAATTGATATGATTGCACAATTTTTCTTATTATGTTAATGCTATGGTTTACATTAACTGATTTTTCAGTACACAACCAGCATTTATTTTTTCCTTTTTAAATTTTTTTCTATTATTTACTTTTTAAAATACTGGTTTGTGGTGTATTATTCATCTTATACTTGGCTGTGTTCAAGTTACTAGAATTTTGTTGAAGTTTTTTGCATCCATGCTTATTATTGATCTCTAGTTTCCATTTCTTATATGCTTTTATATGGTTTTAATTAGGACAATGCTGGACTCCTAGAATGATGTAGAATATGTTTCTTCTACTTCTATTTTCTAGAAGTGATTTTGAAGAATAGTATAATTTTTTTCCTCAAATGCTTAGTACAATTCTCTAGTAAAATCATCTAGGCCTGATTTTTTTTGGGAAAATTTATTAATTATGGATTCAACTTCTGTCATAGATATAGGCCAACTCTGGTTATATATTTTCCCTGCATACTTTTTGGCAATTTGTGTCTTCAAAAAAACTGGCCCATTTCATGTAAAGTATCAAATTTGTGTGCCTAGAGTTGTCCGTAGTTTACTTTCTTATGATTTCATTGTGCAATAGATCAGAAGTGATGCTCCTCTTTCATTTCTGATATAGTCAGCCTGTGTCTTGCTTTTTTTTTCTTGATTATTCTGGCTAGAATTTTGTCAATTTCATAGGCCCGCTCTAAGAACCAGCTTTCTGTTTCATTAATTTTTCTTTTATGCTTGTTTTCTTTTTTAAAAACAAATCTGCTCTATTTTTTATTTTTTCTACCTATTTTGGTTTTAAATTGCCTTTCTTTGGTTTCCAAATGTACAGATGTTGATTTTATTTATTCATTTGTAATACAGTTAAGACTATTAATTTTCTTGTAATTACTAATTTTTCTGCATCCCACAAATTTTGATTTTACATTTTCATTTTTATTTAGTTCAGTATACTTTTTAATGTTTCTTGAGACATCTTAGATCTATATGTTATTTAAAAGTGTTTTGTTTAATCTCCAAACAGTTCAGTGTTTTTCAATTGTCTCTATTTTATAAACTTTTAGCTTAATCCTATTTTGGTCTAAGAATATCATGGGTTGATTTCTACTCTTTAAAAAAATTTACTTCCATTTATATCATAGAATGTGGCTTATCTTGGTGAATGCTCCATCTGAGCAAGAGAAGAATATGTATTCTGATGTTGCTGGATAAATTATTATAAAAATGTCACTTAAATTAACAGTTAATAGTTTTGATAACTATAGCCTTATAAGTATAATTTGAAGTTGGTTAATGGGATGTCTCCAAATTTGTTATTTTTGCTTAGTATTGCTTTTGCTATGCAGGCTCTTTTTTGGTCCCACATACATTTTAGGATTGTTTCTTCTAGTTTTGTGAAGAATGATGATGGTATTTTGAAGAGAATTGCATTGAATCTGTAGACTGCTTAGGGCAGTACAGTCATTTTCACAATACCGATTCTACCCATCCATGAGCACGGGATGTGTTTCCATTTGTTTGTGTCAGTTATGATGTCTTTCAGCAGTGTTTTGTAATTTTCCTTTTGTAGACTGCTGAAGGCCTCTGCATTTGGGTTATTTTATTAAAGAGGAAGTGCTCCTAGTTGGTAACGGACCTGGAGCTCTTCTGGTTGTCTGACTCCTACTTCTGATGTTTTCAACTCAATACTGCCTCCTCCACTTCCTAGTAAAAGTCACCCTCTCATTTCACTCCCTTCAAGCTCTTCCATCTCCTTGCTCGGACCCAAGTCTCCAAGCCATCAGGATCCAGGGCACTGTCTTACTGAAGTCTTACCCCTTCCTCATGATCATTCAGGATACTCAAAGCAGGAGAGCAATAAGAAACACACAGATGTCCAGCCGGGCGTGGTGGCTTATGCCTGTAATCCCAGCACTTTGGGAGGCCGAGGAGGGTGGATCATGAGGTCAGGAGATCCAGACCATCCTGGCTAACACGGTGAAACCCCATCTCTACTAAAAATAGAAAAAAATTAGCCAGGCGTGCTGGTGGGCCCCTGTAGTCCCAGCTACTCCGGAGGCTGAGGAAGGAGAATGGCTTGAACCGGGAAGGCGGAGGTTGCAGTGAGCCGAGATTGCGCCACTGCATTCCAGCCTGGGCAACAGAGTGAGACTCCGTCCCCCGCCCCAAAAAAAAAGAAAAAAAGAAAGGAAAAAAAAAAAAAAAAAGAAACACACAGATGTCTACAGACCTTGATGTGGAAGTGAGGACAAGGAATGGAACATGGACAGAAGACAGGTGCAGAGGGAGCTATAAAAATTGAGGAGTCAGTTACAGACTGACAGTTTGTGTTTTTGTGCATTTGCTAAACTACATGGGTGAAAAAAAATTTCATTTTTGAAGAAGTGAATGAAAAATTTTCATTCTTGAAGAACTGTTGGAAAAAAAGAAAAAACTAATAACAAGAATTACTGAGTAATTTTCATGAACTGCTGGTAATTTATCTAATTTTTAAGCAGCAAAAATATATTTTTTTTCCGTTTCATTAATATATGTGTGTATCAACAAACATCAAGTTAACATGTAAGAACATATACATAGATATGTTTTTATATGTATGTCTGTGTGTATATATATGTGTATACACACACACACACACACACACACACACTTCACCCCTTTAAAGTATATTTCTAAGGTTTTGTTGCAGCTGCTGTAAAAGAGATTGAGTTCTTGATTTAATTATCAACTTGATACACTGATTTTGTATCCTGAGACTTCACTGAATTCATTTATCATATTTAGGAGCTTTTTGGATGACTCTTTAGGGTGTCCTAGGTATATGATCATATCATAGGTGAACAGAAACAGTCTAACTTCCTCTTTTCCAGTTTTGATGCCCTTTATTTCTTTGTCTTGTGTGATTGTTTTGGCTAGAAATTCCAGTACTGTGTTGAATAGAAGTGGCAAAACGGACATCTCTGTCTTGTTCCAGTTCTCAAAGGGGATGCTTTCAAGGTTTTCTCATTTAGTATGATGTTGGCTATGGGTTTGTCAAAGATGGCTTTTATTACTTTGAGATATCTCACTCCTGTGCCAATTTTGTTGAGGGTTTTTCTGATAAAAGGATGCTGGATCCTCACCTCTCACCTTGTTCAAAAATTAACTCAAGATGGAACAAATACTTAAACGTAGAACTTGAAACCATAAAAATTCTAGAAGTTAATAACAGAAAAAAACTCTTCTAGACATTGGCTTAGGCAAAGGATTCATGACTAAGAACCCAAAAGCAAATGCCACAAAAACAAAACTAAATAAATGGAACCTAACTAAATGAAAAGGCTGCTGCACAGCAAAAGAAATCATCAGCAGATTAAACAGACAACCCAGAGAGTGGGAGAAGATATTTGAAAACTATGCATACAACAAATGACTAATATCCAGAATCTACAAGGAATTCAAAGAAACCATCAAGAAAAAAAAAACCCATCAAAAAGTGAGCAAATGACATGGATGGAAAATTTTCAAAAGAAGATATACAAACAGCCAACAGACATGAATAAAAATGCTTAACCTCACTAATTATCAGGGAAAGGCAAATTAAAATCACAATGTGATACCACCTTACACCTGCAAGAATGGCCAGAATTAAGAAGTCAAAAAATAGTAGATGTTGGCATGGATGTACACTTTTACACTGCTGGTGGAAATGTAAACTAGTACAACCATTATGGAAACCAGTATGGAGATTCCTTAAAGAACTAAAAGTAGACCTACCATTCCATCCAGCAATTCCACTACTAGCTATCTACACACAGGAAAATAAGCTATTATATGAAAAAGAAACATTCACACGCATGTTTTTGGCAGCACAATTTGCAATTGCGAAAATATAGAACTGACCTAAATGCCTATCAACCAACCAATAAAGAAAGTATAGTATATATACACCATAGAAGACTATCAGCCATAAAACAGAATGAAATAATGGCCTTTGCAGCAACTTGGATGGAGATGGTGGCAATTATTCTAAGTGAAATAACTTAGGAATGGAAACCCAAATATTGTATCTTCTCACTTATAAGTGGGAGCTAAGCTATGAGGATGCAAAGGCATAAGAATGACATAACGGATTTGGGGACTCAAGGAAGGGTGGGGAGGGGCGAGGGATAAAAGGCTACATATCTGGCACAGTGCACACTGCTTGGGTGACAGGTACACCAACATCTCAGAAATTGCCACTAAGGAACTTATTCATGTAACCAAAAACCAGCTGTACCCTAAAAACTATTGAAATAAGTAAATAAATAAATAAATAAATAAATAAATAAATATTGTATCTACCATGTTTTTAACAACTTTCTATTTATTAAATTTGTTCTTTTTTCCTTTTTCCTTTTTCTGTCTTTTCTGATTTTAATTGAGAGTTCTATAAAATTCCATTTTCTCTCCTTTTTTAGCATATCAATTATATTTCTTTTAAAACAGTAGTTCCTAGGGTTTGAAATATACATTTATAAATAGTTTTAAGTTTATCTTTGAAAAACACTATATTGTTTCACGTGGATCTCATAAAAGCATATTATCAATTTTCCTTCTCAGCTCTTATATTACTGTGATTCATTTCACTTATTCAATATGTTGTTACTATAATTAATCAAAAACAGTTATCTTTTAGATCTATGAAAAACACAAAAATAAAATACTTTGTTGTGCCTTCATTTATTTATTTATTCTCTGATGCTCCTCAATAGGTAGCTTCATGTTTCTGACTCGTATCATTTCTTTCTCCCTAAAGAATATCACATTTTTCAGAAAGTAGGTCTGCCGGTTTTAAATTCCTTAAGCTTTTGTTTCTGAGAAAGTTTTTTATTTCTTAGTTTTTGAAGAAGAATTTTGTGGAATATTATAAGTTAATGAGTTTTTTCTTTCACATTTTAAATATTTACTTCATGCTGTTTTGCTTGTATAGTTTTTGACAAGAAGTCTAATGTAATTACACTTTTTGCCCTGCAGAAAAGATTTCTCCCCCCTTTGGTTCTTCTAAGACTCTATTACATCTTAGGCTTTGTTCAGTTTTTTTATGGCTAGATGTATATTTTTTGGTATTTATCCTTTTTTGATAAATGGGGTTCATGGATCAATGGTTTGCAGTCTATCATTAATTTTGAAAAATTCTCAACAATTATTACTTCCACTGTTTCTTCCACCCCATTCTCTTTTTCTCCTTCAAGTATTCCAATGGCATGTATGTTAAACCTTTATCATTGTCCCTCAGTTCTTGAATAATTTGTTCTTTTTTTTCTTCTTTTTTCTTTTTGCATTTCAGTTTATGGAGTTGCTACTGAAATGTCTCCAAGATTACTTATTCTTTCCTTAGCCATGTCCAGTCTACTGCAGAGCTAAAAGGCATTCTTTATTTTTATGATAGTGATTTTTATTTGTACTATTTCCTTTGCTTCTTTGTTAGAGTTTACATCTCTCTGCTTATATTACCCATCTACTGTTGGATTTTGTCTCTTTTCCACTATGGTCCTCATCATATTGATTATAATTATTTTAAATTATCTATGTGAATAATTTTATACCTATATGTTTCTCATACATGCTTTGTCTCTTCAGAGTAATTTTTCCTGCTTTATGGAATGCCTTTACATTTTGTGCCAAGAATGAGACATGATATTTCAGATAATAGGAACTGAGGAAAACAGATCTTTATTGTAAGATTTTATGTTAATCCAGGTAGAAGTTGGGTTGTGTTTAATATTTGCTGTAGCTGTAGACACCAGAAACTTCAAATATCACTAGTGTTTTTGTCTGTCCTACTACTTTGGATTTCCTTAAGGAACCTCCTCTTAAATAGACTTTGTGCCTTGTAACTTCTTCAGCTGTGACCTTCTATTATTTTACTGAAGAAATGGAGATATGGAGATAAGGTGTAGAGAAAAGTAAGCATTCCATAATCTTATGATAAACAGTCTCGGTGTTCCTGTGCTTCTGGACTGTGGCTTTATGATTGTTTCTTAGCTGTGTTCTGCTCTTAGGTAAAACAGGAAAGTCAGAGATGGTTGACACTGCACAAATGCTCTTCCTCCTAGGTATGATAAGACAATTCCTTTTTAACTGGAGAGTAGGTATTTGCTATGAAGAATGCCTTAGCTGTGTTTCAAAATAGTTAACATTTTCTCCACCATGCCAGAGTTTTATGAGTACTGTTCTCTGATCTTCAACAAGAAAACACAAAATGTTCTAGAGGTAAAACCCACAAAAGTGTGGGTTCCCTTAAGAGTGGGCCCCAAGAATTTTTCACACTCACACTAGTCCATATGCAGTCACCAGCAATTTCTCAGAACTATCATTGTAGTGTTCCTAGCACCTCATGGCTCTAATGGTTTCTGCTCCATTTAAGCTGACTTCTTTTGGGATTCTCCATACTCATCTGTCTCTCAAGATTTGCATATGGCATTTTGCACTGTGACTTCATTTTTCTAATCTATCCAACAGAAGTGTTATTTTCTATTTGTTCAGTTTTTTCACTTGTTGTAAGGACAGGGGTAGAGTGGTGATTCCTAAGCTTTTTTACATATTAAAGCTGAAAACTGCTTCCCAATAATTACCTTTTAGGTTATATATATACACCATATATATACATATACACACACATATATATGTATACATATATATACGTGTATATATGTATACATATATATACATATATACACGTATATATGTATATATATATATGTGTGTGTATATGTATATATATGGTGTACTCTCTTGCTAGGTTTTTCTTTCAGAGAAATTTAGATTTTTGTTTGATTTTAAAGCTTTTTTTCTTATTATAACATTAAATTGTGTTTTACCTGGGATTCCACCAAAGTCTAAGTCTAAGAAAGGATGTGGACACAAATAGTTTATTTGAAAGATGACTCAATAAATCCTGGTAATGGAGCAGGAAAATGAAGTTAAAAAGGGAGAAAAATCAGTAAAACATACACTCATGAGTGAGTTAAATACAGTGGCCAACTGAGGCTCAATCTCACTGGGAACCCTATAAGCAACTGTAGAATATGCCTCTAATTTTTTCCAACAAGAGGTGAAAAAGTTGGAGTATTTATCCACCAATTTGTGTACTTCTTTGGCTGAGGGTTGCTTCTAGAGCCTTAACATCTCTGCCTCTTGACTTGCTCCATTTACTAGTGAGAATACTTCAATGGTTGAAGAATATCTTCAGGCAGAAACACAACATTGTTGTAAAGTTTGTTTGAAATCATCAAGCAGTTGCAAAACCAATACCAGAATTCAGGTACAGATATTTCCACTTGCTCTTCAAAATTATCCCTTTAAAATTTAGAGTGCCCTTAATGTTGAATCAACTGGATTTGAATAATAAGATGGTCTGACTGTAAAAGATGTGTTTGTTGCCTCATTCAGTCTCATTAGCCTGCTACAATCTAATGACTTTCAATTTTAAAATAGTATTTTGTTTTTTTACTAAGGCAACACATAAAAGTTATTGGAATGCTCAATTTATAGATTTTCTCTGTTCTTGTTTAAAGTTCCTGTTATGCCTCCCCTGCCCACCCTCCAACCTATGTCCTCAAGAAAAAGAATAAACAAAATATATAAAACATAAAATATCAAAATATAACTAATATGTGAGATTTGACACTTATTCATTCATTACACAAATATCACTAATAGGCACTTATATATAAAGAAAGTATTATTCTAAGAGTTAAAGAAAGATAATTAAATATTAAAAAGAAAATGCCAACCATTGTGAACCTTATGTTCTGAGAATGCTTGTATATTTGCCCACTGGGGGTCCTGAAGTTTGATTATAATTGTTCTAGATAGCTTTCTTCATTCATCTTGTTTGTTATCCTAAAAGCCTTTTCATTTGAGAACTTGTTCTTTCAAAACAAGGAGAAATTTATACATATTTTTCTCCTTGATGTAAGAATTTTCAGACTATTGTTCATGTTTCAAATTTTTCACATACTTTCACGTATTTTCAACTTTTCACATATTTCTCATTAATACCATATTTCATGCTCAGCTCATCTTTCTGCTACTATTTAACTCTTCCAGTATGAGAAAATACCTATAATCTGTTTTTCTCAACCTTTCTTAAACATTTTTAATGTGGCAATAGTTACCTAACATTATGCATTTACTTAATGTTATTAAAATTGTACTTATCCATTAAATTGTGCCAATTCAACTTATAAATAGTTGAAATGGTAAGTTTAGTGTTATGTATAATTAGCCACAATAAAAGTACTTTTAAATCATCGTAATGCCCACACCATTCTATAACTTCCATGACCCTCCAGACCTATATCTTGTATTCGTCATAGATACACAGATAGATAGACAGATAGATCACATTGATAGATCACACATAGATAGATAGATAGATCACATTGATAGATCACATATAGATAGATAGATAGATCACATTGATAGACCATAGATAGACAGATAGATGATAGATAGATCACATAGATAGATCACACATAGATAGATAGATGATAGATAGATAGATAACATTCCTTATTCCATGTAATTAGTACTGTATAATTTAGTCAAGAATTATTTGTTGATTGTGCCCCAAAATGTTTTGATATTTGCGACACTGCTATCAAAAATGTCTCAGGTTTATTTTCTGTGCTGTAGATTCCTAAAAATGGGCAAATGGAAGGGTTACTGTGCAATTCTCATTAAAGTAGTGTAAGCTATTAGGCCACTCTTACATATTTAAGACAGAATTATGGCAGATACATTAAGTCAGAATATTAGAGTTCTAAATTAAATGTTGTCTATATCAGTCAGTAAATTGAACCAGCAGGAATAGAGTTAAATCACTATAGCTGGCTATTATGTTTGAATCTGCAGAATTAATTTATAGTATTTATAATTATAGCTATAAAATCTATAATCGACTGAGTCTTATGAAAGATTATGAACAGCAGCTAAGGTCTTTTAAAATTGAACAGGATACCTTAATAAGTGGTGAGTTCCTTATCACTGGAAATATCTGAACAAAGTTTAACTAGACATCTGTCAAGAGTGTTTTAAAAGGTTGTTATATTATAGTAGAGACTGAAATATCTGTCCTCTATGATCCCATTTATTTCTAAGGTTCTGAGGTCTAACAAGTAATATAAAATTGCAAACACCTGTTGGTCATTAGTGATAAAACTAGATTTATACTCCTGTAATTAGACAATGACTTTTTAAATAACCTATGACCATTTTAATTTTACTGTATTATAGTTATTATAGAATTTCATCAAGGCTTCATATCCCTAAACCTTTTAAAAATTATACACTAAATTATAAGCTTATTGCATTGAACTTCAGGACCTCTGTTAGAAAAAAATTATAAAGAACTATCCTATATATCTGCAACTCATGTGTTTGCAAAGTGTAGCATTAGAGTGAAAGTATGGGCTTTGGCATGAGTCAATTTCCCATATCACATTTTTGGCGGAAAGTATCAATAATCAAAGTATATCAAAGAATCAAATATCAAAGTGAAACTGATATGTGAGATCAGCACTCATTCTTTTATACCTTCATACACTGAAGAAAAGTTATCAATATGCAATTACATATACAGCAGGTACTCCTCTAATTAAATTCTACAATTAAATTCTACCACTAATACATGTGGGATCTTGGACAGCAATTTAACCTATCTAAGCTTTACATTCCTTGTCTGTCAAGCAGAAAATAAGAATACCTATTTCATTTAGTTTTTGTTAGAATAAAATTAGGAATTTTCTCTAACTCACTTAAAAGAGTGCCATGGTTATTTTTGTAAAGAATAGCCAATATTGTTTTGGGTACATAAATGTGATCTAGGTGATAACTTCTTCAAAATAAAAATGTCTATTTTTTTTTTCAGAAAACTCGATTAAACAACACATTGAAATATGTAAGATATACTTTAAAAATAATAAATAAGAGATTAAGTTAAAAAGCCCAGTAGAGGCTAAATAGACTAAATATAGTCTATGCATTTAAGTTGAAAAAGTTTACTTAAGAAGAATCATCTCGAGTAATTTTTGCATATGGTGAAAGGTAGGGATCCAGTTTCATTCTTCTGCATATGGCTAGCCAGTTATCCCAGTGCCATTTATTTAATAAAGAGTCCTTTTCCCCTTGCTTGTTTTTGGCAGCCTTGTTGAAGATCAGGTAGTTGCAGTTGTGTGGCTTCACTTCTGTGTTTTGCATTCTGTTCCATTAGTCTGTGTATGTATTTTTGTACCAGTACCATGCTGTTTTGGTTACTGTAGCCTTGTAATATACTTTGAAGTCAGATAACGTGATGCTTCTGGCTTTGTTCTTTTGACTTAGGATGTTTTGGTTAACCAGACTTTTTGTTTTTGCATGTGAATTTTAGAATAGTTTTTTTTTTTAAATTCTGTGAAGAATGACAGTAGTTTAATAGGAATAGTGTTGAATCTGTAAATTTCTTTGGGAAGTATGGCCAGGTTAACAATATTGATTGCTCCAATTCATGAGCACGGTATGTATGTTTTTCATTTATTGCCCTATCTCTGATTTCTTTCAGCGGTGTTTTCTAGTTCTCCTTGTAGAGATCTTTCACCTGCTTCATTAACTGTAATCCTAGGTATTTCATTTTCTTTGTGGCTATTGAAAATGGGATGTGTTCTTGATTTGTCTCTCAGCCTGAGTGTTATTGGTGTATTGAAATGCTACTGATTTTCATAAAAAATTCAAATGTAAGACCTCAAGTTATAAAAATCCTAAAAGAAAACCTATAAAATGCCCTTCTCAACATTAACCTTGGCAAAGAAATTTTGACTAAGCCTCTAAAAGCAACTGCAACAAAAACAAAAATTGACAAGAGGGACCTAATTAAACTAAAGATCTTCTGCACAGCAAGAAAAACTATTAACAGACTAAACAGACATCGTATAGCATAGGTTAGCATAGGTTAAAATACTTGCAAACTGTGCATTTGATAAAGGTCTAATATCCAGAATCTATAAGGAAGTTAAATAAATCAACAAGCAAAACCAAATAACCCAAAATGCAAAAAAAAAAATGGTCAAATGATATGAATAGACACTTCTGCAAAGAAGACACACAGGTGAACAACAAACATATGAAAGTATACTAATCATCATCAATCTAAAGAAAATGTGAATCAAAACCACAATGAGATAATATCACATACCAATTAGAATGGCCATTACTAAAGTCAAAGAAGCAACAGATGCCGGTGAGGCCACAGAGAATAGTAAACATTTACATACTGTTAGTGGAAATGTAAATTAGTTTAGCCTCTGTGGAAAGCAGTTTGAAAATTTCTCAAAAAGCTTTAAACAAAGGTTCCATTTGACCCATCAGTCCCATTACTGAGTATATGGCCAAAGAAAAATTCATCATACCAATAAGACCTCATGTTCATCAGCATGCTATTCACAGTAGCAAAGACATAGAATCAACCTTGGTCCCCACCAATGGTGGATTGGATAAAGAAAATATCATACATATACTACCCAGCCACAATAAAAAATAAAATCCTTTGCAGCAACATAGATAAAGCTGGAGGCCTTAATCCAGAGTGAATTAAGACAGGAACAGAAAACCTAATACCACACGCTCTTACTTGTAAGTCGGAGCTGAACATTGAGCACACATGGACATAAACATAGGAAGAATAAACAATAGACGACTAGAGGAGGGACGATGTGGTCTGAAAAACTACATATTGGGTACTGTTCTCACCACCTGGGTACTATATACCCATGTAACAAACCTGCACATGCTTGCCTACAACTGAAACAAAAGTTGAAATTATTAAAAAAGAAGAAGAATCCGTCTCCTTAGGATCTGACAATGTATTTACTCATATTTGGTTATTATTTTTAGTTGTAGGTCTCCTTTAATTGTGGGTCTCTGTTTCTCATAACACAGAATGTACAAAATAGTCAATTAAAACTGTACTTTGAGAGGAATGATGACTAAGCTGGCACAATGACATCACAAACAAAGGACACCCAGGGAGATAACCATTTAAAAAGACAGCATATCGAAGATTTCTATAGTCCTTGGTAACCATCATCACCTTATTATTTTTATTTGTATTATTATTTGGTAGACACAATATCTCACTATGTTGCCCAGGCTGACCTCAAACTCCTGGACTCAAGTGGCCTCCCAATGTGCTGGGATTATAGGCATGAGCCATCAGCCATTATCATTTTTAATGGTCCTGCTTCTGTAGCCTGTCCGTTTCTTTACAGTTTTCTAATATTTTCCTTACATATGTCTTTTGTATACTTTTGCTTCTACATACCTCATTACACTTGCTAATAAAAGCTGCATTTAGAGGCTAATAAAAGCTGCCTTTAGAACTAGCATATTTGAGGGTTTTTTCTTTAAGTTTTGTATGGTGGATAACATGTAATAGTAATCTGTCAGGAGACTCTAATGCATAACATTTTTTTCCTGACATATGATTTGTTGAATAGCATGGAATAAAGCTATCAACTGTGTCAACTGCACTTTAATATTCAGATCCTGATTCATTCATATAAACATATGGAGGATGCATAGTATAAAGAAGGCTACTAATAGAGCAGATCTATAACTTGAACATTCCAGAAAGTTCTTTGTATCATCATAGTATATGTTCAAAATATTATTTTTGAACTGAATGTCACCATGGTATTCAAGGGGACGGATGGGGGAGATAAAACGCTGACATGAACATTAAAAAAATCTTTGCCTAATTTTTGGTATTGATTTTGCAACTGCCTAATAATTATGAACCATCTCTATAGCAATTCAAGGCACTATTTTTTAATCTATAAAATAAAAGTACGAGGCATGCCTCATATACTCCCTATTCATTTAAATATAGAATATCAAAATATTCAAATACCGTAGAAAGTATTCAACTGAGTGGAAGATATATGAGTATTATTATTAATTAAGCTAAAACCTACTCAAGGCAGTAACTGTGCAACACTGTGGTTTTCAACCTTTATGACTCAAAACTACCATTTTATCTTCCAGTTTGGAAAATTTGATGACTTGTCCCACCATCAGAATTAATTTTTTCTAACTCTGAACTATAAAAAAATGATTCTATTATAATTGAAAGTACCATAGTTTGCCTATTGACAGTTGTATCCTCAACTCTAGTTTGTTAAGATACTTGAAACACACGATGTCACATTTGTCATTGTAGATTGTCAGAAATTGAGGTGAAATTGCAATAAATGTTTTCTGAATTTAATTTGGAGTATCATCAACATCTTCATAATCTTTATCATCTAAAACGTACTCTTATAGAACTTGTCATTTCCTGATGATTCCACGTAAATATTGATCTATATTTATTCTCTATTTACAGGCTATAATTTCTTCCTTGAATATTAACACAGCATCCTCACTTGCAAATCAAATGACTTTTATGACAGACAAGATGCTGCCAGAATATTTCTGGGTCAACTTTGGTTCGTTGAACTACACACTTAATTAAATTCTAGGCCCTGAAAGTATTTACATTTACAGCATTAGTCCATTATAGGAAAGAACATCAGGCTATTTGAATTTATTTTTGGAGTATGACATCACTGTAAATAGAGTGATTTTTCCTAACAATATCTAATTTTTATCACCTTAATTAGAGAACTGATTAATTGTAATGTATTTTTATTATTTGGTTGACCAGTTTACTAATCTTATTAGCTCTAAAATATTCTCAGTTGCTCTTTTTGAGTTTTCCAAGTAGATGATTATTATATATATAAATTGAGATTATTTTTCCTTTTCAATATTGAAAACTTGTATTGTTCACATATCTGATTGTATTACATACAATTTCCTAATATACAGGAAATAATAAAGGAGGTTTGAAGATATAATTGTCTACTGTCTGTTTAATTAAAATGACTTTAATAATTTATGATTGAGGATGAGATTGATGTTGCTCTGAGAGTACATTCTGTCTTAGATTACAAATGTATCCTTTCAAATTCTAGTAGATTGTTTTTTAATTTGGAAAACACATTAATTTTAATCATGTGCTATTGTCAATTTCATTGAGATACACATATTTGCTTCTCTTTAAATCTCCTTAATAAAAACTATTGTAATAGCAGTACTTAGTGATAATCATTTCTTACCTTTTTGTATTAAAGGCTTCTTGTTAATGTTCTACTATTTTAATATTTTAATTTATTTCTAATTCAGCTTTATATTTAATTATGCAGATCTTGTATCTAGGGTGTGTCTTTCTTCCTATGTGCTCCAATGGTGCCATTCTTAGAAAAGAAGAACATAAAAATAACACATTCTTGCTATTAAAAAAACTTTCAATACTTTTTTAGGGCCAATTCAGATAATTTTGGAGAAAAGTAGGCATTATAACTGCCCATAGTTGGTGGCATCATGACTTATTAAAGACTCTAAGATGAAATAAGATTATTTATTATTTGGATTCTGAAAAAATAAGGGTATGTACTATCATTATTATTTAGTGTTTTTCCCTTTAACAAATATGCTGCTGAACTCCATGAAAGCATCATAGTTTCTAAGGAAGAGGTAGCAAGATCTGGTTTCCTATATCCTAAATTTTGTAAAACTGAAAAATGACAATAACTTTATCATTAGAATTTTGTAGTGCCAGCTCAGATTTCTATTAGTTATTCTTTGCAGGTTCTGTTTGAAAGATTTGGGTATCAGAAGTGATATGTGTAATCAGATAAAAAGCAGGTTGATCTTAGCTTGTGAGCAATGTGTTCAGAGAAAAATTCTCAGAAAGGAATTGATTTTAGGTCTATATCTTAAAGTACAGAAATAAAATGACATAAACAACAAAAAATTGAATATTAAGGTGTTAATTTAAATGTACAGTTCAAAACAATATAAACCTGGTCATTGTTTTATGAAGTTTAAACAACTCAAACTCTTACATAAAAAGTCAGAGGAAAATCTGAAATAAATTTTATTATAATGTTGAAAATATGTAACAAATGTAAAATATTTCCAGCTGCATTTATTCAAAGGTATCTTATGTGTAAATAGAACCACATCTAAATGTTCTATCCATACTTAGATATTCTAAAATTTTAATCATAATAAAAGACATCTTAAATAAACCCTTTTTTAACATTTTAATTGTTTACTATTATATTTGGTTTTCTATTGACATCATTATCCAAATTGCTACTGATATGGTTTGGCTGTGTCCCCACTCAAGTCTCCTCTTGAATTGTAGCTCCCATGTGTTGTGGGAGGGACCTGGTGGGAGGTAATTGAATCATGGGGGTGGGTTTTTCCCATACTGTTCTCATGATAGTGAATAAGTCTCACAGGATCTGATGGTTTAATAAAGGACAGTTCCCCTGCACATTCTCTCTTGCCTGCTGCCTTATAAGATGTGACTTTGCCCTTCTTTTGCCTTCTGCCATGATTGTGAGGCCTCCCCAGCCGTGAGGAACTGTGAGTCCATTAAACCTCTTTTTCTTTATAAATTACCCAGTCTCAGATATTTCTTCATAGAAGTATGAAAATGGACTAGTAATACAGCTATCATTGTAGTAACATATCTATCCCCGTAACTATAAATGTATATTTCTCAGCTGTATGTTTGAAACTGATATATAATGTCACATTGTCATAAAAAAGTATAACTTGATGTGATATATAATATTGTTGAATATAATGTTGATGCCTACACATCCATTTGTATAGTCAGATAGATACCTTTCCTTTATTTAAATTGTAATTTATATGAAAAACTGTAAATAACTTGATATGAATTGTATAATGCATAAATTACATATAATGCATAATTATGTAATTAAATTTTATAAAACACATGTCATATTTCTTCACATGAAGTTGATAGAAATGCCAAGTTTAGAATACTATCTTCAATATGGCATACTCTCTGTAGCATGTTACATTACTTCAAAAATATGTTTCCCAAAGCTGTACAACTAAATTAAGAATTAATAGTGAGAGGGGGTGGAGCAAGATGGTAGAATAGAAGCCTATACTGTTCATCCCCTCCAATGGAACACCAAACTTTACCAACTATCTGTACAGAGAAAAACACTGTCACAAGAACTAAAAATCAGATGAAAAGTCATGGTACCTGGTTTTAACTTCATATTGCTAGAAGTTGCATTGAGGAGGACAAGAGAGATAGTCTTGAATCACTAATGCCAAGCCTCCCCCATTCCCTAGAAGCGTCCCTGTGGAGCAAGAGAGAATCTTTGCACTTTGGGGAAAGAGAACACAGTGACTATGGCACTTTGCATTGAACTAAGTGCTGCCCTGTCACAGTGAAGAATTAAGTCATGCTGGGCTCAGATAGTGCCCAAATGGAGGGGACATTTGGACCAGCCCTAGCCAGAAGGGAATCATCTGTCCCAGCCATCAGAACATTAGTTTCTTGCAAACCTCACAAGCCAAAGTGCTCTGGGGTCCTAGGTAACTCCGAACGGCAGTCTAAGATACAAGGACTGCAATTCCTAGGCAACTCCTAGTGCTAGGCTGGACTTAGAGCCAATGAACTATCGTGCCACATGACCTAGGGAGACATTAGCTGGGGTGGCTAAAGAAGTGTTTGTGCCATACCTCATCCAACCGCAGGCAGTGCAGCTCGCAGCAACAAAAGTGACCTCTTATTTCTGTTTAAGGAGAGGAAAGCAAAGAGTAAAGAGGAATTTGTCTTACATCTTAAATGCCAGATCAGCCACAGAATAGAGCCCAAGCAGATTCATAAGGCTCCCATTCCAGGCACTAATTCTGGGACATTTCTAGACACACTTTTGAAGAAAAGGGGACCCAGTGCCTTGAAATACAGGACCCAGTCTTGGCAGGACTCATCACCTGCTAAATAAAGAGCCCTTGGACCCTGAATAACCAGCAGTGATACCTAGGGAATACATGTGAGCCTTGGGCTCTGAGACAGGCTGCTTCAGGGGTGACCCGGCACATTCTAAGGTGTAGTGGCTATAGTGAAAGACTTCTGTTTGAGAAAAGCAGAGGAAAAAGTAAAGGGGACTTTATCTTGAACCTTAGGTACCAGCTCAGCCACAGTGGGGTAGAGCAACAAGAAGGCTCTTAGGGTCCCCATATTCAGGCCTAGGCTCTTGCACAGCATTTCTGAACCTACCCTGTGCTATAGGGGAGCCTACTGCCCCAAAGGGTGAGTGTAACCTGGGCAGCACTCACCACATGCTGAGGGAAGAGCCCTTGGGCTTTGAGTGAACATTGAAGGTGGCCTGGTGGCACTCTCATGGGCTGGTAGTGGTGGAGGCCACAGGGAGAGGCTCTTCTGCCTGTGGAAAGGAGAGGGCAGAGCAGGAAGAACTTCACATTATTTTGTGAGTACTGGCTTACCCACAGTAGAATAAAACATCAAGTGAAATGCCAAGGTTTTTGACTCCAAACCCTGGCTCCCAGGCAGCATCTCTGTACCTTCCTGAGGCCTGGGGGAATTTGCTGCACTGAAGGGAAGGACCTTAGGCAAGACCCAGTGCTGTACTGTCTTCAGGTCTGAGACTGCGCAGTCCCAGTGGTGGTGGCCACAGGGGAGCATGTATCACCACACTCTCAGTTCCACCAGGCTCAGCACAGAGATAGACTATGTTTGTTTGAGAGAAAGTAAGGTAAATTAAAGAGTGTCTGCCTAGTAATCCAGAAAGTTATTGTACATCTTATCCAAGACCACCAAGGTGGTATTTACATGAATCTGAAAACAAACAAACAAACAAACAAAAAGAACAGCATTAAGGAGCTTGGGATGCAAGTTCCTTCAAACACCTGGGAAGCCTTTCCAAGAAAGACAGGTAAAAACAAGCACAGATTCTGAAAACTACAACAAATACCTAACTCTTCAATGCCCAGGCTTCAAAAAACAAGTATCAGAAAAAAATCCAGGTAAACACGACATTACCAAATGAACTCAATAAGTCACCAGGGGCAAATAGTAGAGAAACAGAGATACATGACCTTTCATGTAGAAAATTCAAAATAGCTCTTTTGAGGAAACCCAAAGAAATTCAAGATAACTCAGGAAATGAATTCAGAATCCTATCAGATACATTTAACAAAGAGATTGAAATAGTTTAAAATAATCAAGCAGAAAATTTAAAGTTGAAAAATGCAATTGGCATGCTGAAGAATGCATCATATTCTCTTAATAACAGAGCCGACCAAGCAGAAGAAAGAATGAGTGAGCTTGAAGACAGGATATTTGAAAATACACAGTCAGAGGAGACAGAGGAAAAGAATGAAAAACAATAAAACATCCCTATGAGATCTAGAAAATATCCTCAAAAGGGCAAATCTAAGTGTTATTGACCTTAAATAGGAAGTAGAGAAAGATATAGGAATAGGAAATTTATTCAAAGGGATAATATAGGAGAAATTCCCAAACCTAAAGAAAGATATCAACATTCAAGTACAAGAAGGTTATAGAACACCAAGCAGAATTAACCCAAAGACTACCTCAAGGCATTGAATAAGCAGACTCCCAAAGGTTAAGTGTAAAGAAAGAATTCTAACAGCAGCAAGAGAAAAGAAACAAGTAGCATACAATGGAGGGGTAATAAGTCTGGCAGCAGACTTTTCAGTGGAAACCTTACAGGCAAGGAGAGGGTGCCATGACTATTTCAAGTGCTGAAGGAAAATAACTTTTACCCTAGAATAGCATATCTGTAGAAACTATTCTTCATGCATGAAGGAGAAATAAAGACCTTCCAAGACTACCAAAAGCTGAGGGAATTAATTCATACCAGACCTATCCTACAAGAAATGATAGAGTCCTTCAATCTGAAGGAAAACAATGTTAATGAGCAAAAAGAAATCATGTGAAGGTATATTCACTGTTAATAGTAAGTACATAGAAAAACAGAATAGCATAACACTGTAATGATAGTTTGTAAACTACAGTTATTGTAAGTAGAAAGACTAATTGATAAATTAATCAAAAATAATAATTACAACAACTTTTCAAGACATAGTACAATAAGATATGAAGAGAAACAACTCATGTTAAAACGCCAGAGGGGAGAAAGTTAAAGTGTAGAGTTATTACTAGCTTTCTTTGCATGTTTGTATATGCAGTGAGTGTAAAGTTGTTATCAGTTTAAAATAATAGTCCATAAGCCTCATTTGCAAGCCTCATGGTAGAATCAAATCAAAAACCTACACAGGTACACAAAAAAATAAAAAGCAAGAAATCAAACCATACCACCAGAAAAAATTACCTTCACTAAGGGAAAGACAGGAAGGAAAGAAAGAAGGAAGAGAAGACTGTAAAACTATGAGAAACCAAATAAAAAATAGCAGAAGTCCTACTTATCAATAACAACAGTGAATGTAAATGGACTAAACTCTCAAATCAAAGGCATAGATTGGCTGAATTGCCAAAACAGCAAGATTCAGTTATCTGTTGCTACAAGAAGTACACTTCACCTATAAAGACATACATAGACTGAAAATAAACAGATGGAAGAAAGATAATCTACGCTAGGGAAATCCAAAAAGAGCAGAAGTAGCTATCCTTTTTATCAGACAAAATAGATCTCAAGACAAAAACTGTAAAAAGAGGCAAAAAAGGTAAATCACCACTTTAATGGTAAAGTGGTCAATTCAGCAAGAGGATATAATGCTGGTAAATATATATATATAACCAACACAGGAAAACACTGATATATAAAGCAAATATTTTTAGAGCACAAGAGACAAGAGAAAGATATATCCCAATACAATAATAGCTGTAGACCTCAACACCCCACTTTCAGCATTGGGTGTTTCAGCATTGGGCAGATCTCCCAGACAGAAAATCAATAAAGAAGCATCAGACATAATTTGCCCTATAGAACAAATGGACCTAATAAATATTTACAGAACATTTCATCCAAAGGCTGAACACATTCTTCTCCTCAGGACATAAATCATTCTCAAGGGTAGACCATATTTTAGGTCAGAAAATAAGTCTTAAAACATTCAAAAAACTGAAATAATATCAGTACCTTCTCTGACCAACATGGAATAAAACTAGAATCAACAGTGGGTAGTTTTAGAAATTATATAAACACATGCAAATTAAACAATATGCTACTGAATTATGATTTTGTCAGTGAAGAAATTATCAGTGAAATTGAATAATGTCTTTAAACAAATGGTAATAGAAATACAATATACCAATACCTATGGGATACAGCAACAGCAGTACTAACAGGAAAAATTTATAGCTATAAATGCCTACATCAAAAAAAGCAGAAAAACTTCAAACAAATAACTTAATGATGTATCTTAAATAATTAGAAAACCAAGAGCAAGCTGAACCAAGATTAGGAGAAGAAAATAGATAATCAAGATCAGAGCAGAAATAAATAATATGAAATGAAGAAAACAATACAAAACATCAACAAAACAAAAAGTTGGTTTTTTGGAAAGATAAACAAAATTGACAAGCCTTCAGTCAGACTAAGAAAAAAAGAATGAAGACCTAAATAAATAAAATCAGGGTTGAAAAAACAGACATCACTACTGATAACAAAAAATTCAAAGGATCATTAGAGGCTACTATGAACAATTACATGCCAATAAATTGGAAAATGTAGAAGAAACAGATAAATTCATAGACATATACAACCTACCAAGACTGAACCAGGAATAAATCCAAAGACCAAACAGACCAATAAGAAGTAAAGATATCAAAACCATAATAAAAATGACCCACTAAAGAAAAGCCTGGGACCTGATGGCTTTGCCACTGAGTTCTCCCCAACATTTAAAAAGCTAAAACCAATGCTACTCAAACTATTCCAAAAATAAGAGAGGAGGAAATACTTCCAAACTCATTCTATGAGGCCTGTATTACCCTGATACAAAAACCAGAGAAAGACACATCAAAAAAGAAAACCACAGGCCAATATTTCTGATGCATATTGATGCAAAAATTCTCAACAAAATAGTAGTAAACCAAATTCAAAAATACACTAAAAATATCATTTATCATGACCAAGTGGGATTTATCCTAGGGACGCAAGAAGGGTTCAACATATGCAAATCAATCAATGTGATACATCATTGCAACAGAGTAAAGGACAAAAACCATATGATAATCTCAATTGATGCTGAAAGAGCATTTGGTAAAATTCAACAGTATTTCATGATAAAAATCTTTTAAAAAAGACTGGGGACAGAAGGAACACACCTCAACCTAACGAAAGCCACATATGACAGACCCACAGCTGGTATCATATTGAATGGGAAAAAACTGAAAGCTTTCCTTCAAGATCTGTAACATGACAAGGATGCCCACTTGTCATCAAGTTATTCACCGCTGTTATTCAACATAGTACTAGAAGTCCTGGCTAGAGCAATTAGACAAGAGAAAGTAATAAAGGACACCCAAATTGAAAAAGAAGAAATCAAATTATCCTTTTTTGCAAATTATATGATCATATATTTGAAAAAACTTAAAAACTCCACCAAAAAAACCCATTAGAAGTGAAAGACAAATTCAGTAAAGTTGCAGGATACGAAATCCACATAAAAATCAATAGCATTTAGGCCAGGCACGGTGGCTCATGCCTGTAATCCAAGCACTTTGGGAGGCCAAGGTGGGTGGATCACGAGATCGGGAGATCAAGACCATCCTGGCTAACATGGTGAAACCCCATCTCTACTAAAAGTACAAAAAAAATTAGCCAGGCATGGTGGCGGGCGCCTGTAGTCCCAGCTACTCGAGAGGCTGAGGCAGGAGAATAGTGTGAACCCGGGAGGTGGAGCTTGCAGTGAGCCGAGATCATGCCACTGCACTCCAGCCTGGGCAACAGAGCAAGACTTAATCAAAAAAATATATATATTAAATACATATATACATATTATGTATATGAATATATATATTTATATATTATATATAAATATATATATTTATATATAATATATAAATATATATATTTATATATAATATATAAATATATATATTTATATATATATAATTTCTATAATTTCTATATGCCAAAAGGAAACAATATAAAAAAGGAACAAAAAAATTCCATTTACAATAGTCCCACATAAAATTAGATACCTGGGAATTAACCAAAGAAGTGAAAAATCTCTACAATGAAAGCAATAAAACACTAATGAAACAAATTGAAGAATATACCCAAAAATGGAAAGATATTCCATGTTCATGAATTGGAAGAATCAATATTGTTAAAATGTTCATACTACTCAGAGCAATCTACAGATTCAATACAATCCGTATCAAAATACCAATGACATTCTTCACCAAAATAGAAAAAACATCCTAAAATTTATATAGACTCACAAAAGACCTGGAATACCCAAAGCTATCATAAGCAAAAATAACAAAACTGAAAAATTCACATTACTGGACTTCAAGTTATACTACAGAGCTATAGGAACCAAAACAGCATGATACTGGCATAGAAACAGACACATAGACCAATGGAACATAACAGAGAACCTAGAAACAAATTCACACACCTAGAGTGAAATCATGTTTAACAAGATGCCAAGAATGTACACTAGGGAAAATATAGTCTCTTCAATAAACGGTGCTGGGAAAACTGGATATCCATATGCAGAAGAATGAAACTAGACATCTATCTCTCACCACCTACAAAAGTCAAATAAAAATGGATTGAAGACGTAAATCTAAAATCTCAAACTATAAAACTACTAAAATAAAACATTGAGGAAATTCTCGAAGACAATTCAACTGGGCAAAGATATCTTGAGTAATACCCCACAGGCACACGCAACCCAAGCAAAAATGAACAAATGGGATCACATCAAGTTAGAAAGCTGCTGCACAGAAAAGGAAACAATCAAGGAAGTGGAGAGACAACCCACAAAATGGGGGAAAATATTTGCAAACTACCCACTGACAGGGATTAATAACCAGAACATATAAGGAGCTCAAAACAATCCTATGAGAAAACATTTAATAATCCAATCAAAATATGGGTAAAAGATTTGAATAGACATTTCTCAAAAGAAGACATACAAATGCAAACAGGCATATAAAAAGGTGCCCAACATCATCGGTCATTAAAAAAATACAAATCAAAACTAAAATGAGGTATCATTTCACCCCAGTTAAAATGGCTTATATCCCAACGATGGGCAATATCAAATGCCAGGAGGATGTGGAGAAAATGAAACCTTCATACACTTTTTGTTAGAAGTTAACTTAGTAGAACCACTATGGAGAAGAGTTTGCAGGTTCTTCCAAAAACTAAAAATAGAGCTTCCATATGATCTAGCAATCCCACTGCTGGGTTTTTACCCAAAAGAAAGGACATCAGTATATTGAAAAGACATTTACACTCCTATGTTTGTTGCAGAACTGTTCACAATAGCCAGAATTTGTAAGCAATCTAAGTATCCATCATCAGATGAATAGATAAAGAAAATGTGGTGCATGTACACAATGGAGTACTATTCAGACATAAAAAAGAATGTGAGTCTGTCATTTGCAACAACACAGATGGAACCGGAGGTCAACATTTTAAGTGAAATAAGCCAGGCACAGAAAGACAAATATCACCTGTTCTTACCTATTTGTGGTGTCTAAAAATCACAAAATTTGAGCTCATGGAGATAGAGAATAGACCAGAGGCTGGGAATGGTAGTTGGGCGGGTTGGGGGGTGGTGGTAGGGATGGCTAATGGGTACAAAAAATAGAATGAATAAGACCCTGTATTCGACAGCACAACAAGGAGCTTTAGTCAATAATAATTTAATTGTATGTTTTAAAATAACTAAAAACGTTTAGTTGGATTGTTTGTAACTCAAGAATAAATGCTTGGGGGGATGAATACCCGATTTTCCATGATGTGATTATTGTGCATTGCATGCCAGTATCAAAGTATCTCATGTACCCCATAAATATATACAGCTACTGTGTACCCACAAAAATTAAAAATTAAAGTAAATTTTAAAAAGAATTAAATGTGCAAATTTACTTCAAAAAAACTATTTTGGTATTAATACTGCATTACGTATTCTAAGTAAAATTCTACAAACAAGAATAGAACGTTAGATAAATCCACAAATGTAACTTGTTGTTAAATTAGGAAATTATAATTTCGTTCATAAAGGTTTATTTATAAAGAAAAAACTAATTTTTTTGCTAAACTACAAAATTAACATGACAGTAGAATTTTTAAAATTACTATAAGTATTTTTCTTACTTTTCTAAACAAGTATTCATTCCTAGTTTAATCATTTGCCTTGTGACTTGATATCACAGTCAGCTTGCTAGTTAGTATTTCGCATGTCATGTCCATCAGTTATTGTATGTTACTACTACTGGTTTCTGAGTATGTCCTTTATTAATTTGTTTATGTATTTAACAAAATTTGAGTATCTGATAACAAGTAATAAAGCATATTTGAAAAAGTCCAGGCCCACTACAAGAGTCACTAAATATGAATTTTCAGTAAGAAGCATTCTTTTACCCACTAAGACCAAAGTTAAATTTTCTTAGTCCTTCAGTGTAAGAAAGGACTAAAAAAAATAAAAAATTTTAAAAAAAGTTTCTTCTATCACCTACTTTTAAAGAATAGTATTAACCTAGAAAAAGGCAAGGCATACAGTAATGACTACTGGAAAAATATTGACTGAAACAATAGCTGAAAACCTAGAAAGCATTCATGTGTTTACAGTTCAAAATATAAATCTGGGGATTCTGTTACGAACTATTTTGTATTTATAAATATTCCAGGGTACATACAGAATAGAATTCATACCTTAAAGCTATCAAATTTTTGTTCTTAATGATATTAGAGATTAGATAAAAATTATGACCACAGCACATTCATTTCACAAAATATGGAGTCACTATGATTCACAAAATATTTTGATACAGATAAAATTGGTAGGACAATAATTTATGGACATTTACATGAGCAGTTTTGTTAAAAATTGTTATAAAGGATGAGAATACAAGGAAAAAGCATAGGCAAATTAATTTCTAGTAATTTTTAGAAGCATAGTGAAAAAGGAAAAACTTTATTCTCTTGAATGTTTATTATTTAATTTTGGTGATAGATATTCCACAGTCATCGGGAGTAATTCTATTTCAAAAATGTAACTAGATTAAGACTTGCTAATATATGAGTTAATTTTTAAACAATTCTTATGGTTTTTAAACAATTCCTAAACATAATTTGATATGCTTCTGCCTTAAGGTTTTCATTGGAAAAAGTAATTTGACAATAATAATCATTTTTTAAAAAGCATAGAATAATTGTAATAATGGCCAACTTTTTTTGACCCATTCTAACTGTCAATAACTGTAATAAGAACATTATATGTATAATTTCAATAGAAACTTCTACATTAAATTTTGTGTACTCTACATACTTTGTAAATGAGAAAAACTGGAGTGTAGTGAGAGCAAAATCAGCCAACTAGTAAGAGCTATAGTTGTGATACAAGCCCAGCTTTGTCTGACTAGGCAATGCATGATTTGAAGAATGAATCTGAGTAGTAATAGCACTATGGTGAAGTGATAATCTTATGGGATCAACCTAGTGAAGAGGGAAAAAAAGTACAAAAGCTCTATTGCATATCCAAAGTCTGTCCTAAATCTATGTTATTATTTACTATCAAAATTGTCTTCAGAAATTATTCTGTAAAATTTACTTAGAATTTTAAGTTGTGATTTACCATTCACCTTCATAATTACCTAGTATTAGGACTAAAAACCTGATATGGGTATGAATTCAGACACTTAGATATTATTATATTTATAATATTTTATACACTGATGTTCTGTTTATTAAAGTATAACTTAAATAACATGGATGAGCAATACCTTGTTTTGATACTAGTACCTATTATTTTTTCACAAATTTTGAATTATTTTACATATGGCTACTCATTCATCATAGCCTTTATTTTTAAGAGTTTTACTCCTACTATGTTTATATTTACCTAGGATCAGGGAATGTAATTAGAACTAAAAAAATTATTCACATAAATATGCTGTGATAAACTCAAGCCATTTATGCCATACATTATTTAGCCTCAATTATTATAATGGTATCCATGAGCTTTCTTTGCTCATTATTTTTATGCATGCTTAAAAATAGCAAGCAACTGTACTATCTTGTTCTCTTGTTGTCAGATCCACAGAGCTATGCAAAGTTGGCCTGAGTGTGTATCTGGCAGGCAGCCTTCAAGACCTGCAGAGAGTCTCCTGGTGATTCAGTGGGTGGCAAGCTCTCTTCTGACTCAGGCTCTAATGGAAGTACTTCTCAAGAATAGCCAGACCATGTTTGTTTTTCCCAGCAAAAACATTATTGTTAACAATAATATATTACATAGTTTCAAATAGCTAGAGAGAAGATACTGAATGTTCCCAATACAAAGATATTTCTTTGATGTTTGAGATGATGGATATGCTAATTATCTTGATTTTATCACTATACAATTATATGTATTACATTACTATTGCCTCATAAATATGCACAATTATTATGTGTCAATTAAAAAGAAAGAAAAATCAGTCACATTATCATCTCTTCCTGGCTCAGAATGCTGAAGTGTGAATGGTGTGCCTTTAGATAAGCTAGTTCCAGATAGCTGTGTAATAGAGTTAAAAATAAGTATGGCATTCAGTTCCATGCCTGTTTTTTCCAGAAAGGTGAACACAATGATGAAACAGGAAAATTAAGAATAAAAGGCGTTTTCTTCCAAGGAGAGACAGTTACATCTGCCTCAGTTATTTATCAAAAAATAGATATAGAAACAGTCATGAAAGGGAGTAGCATTTTGAATTTGGGGTTGAATTAGGCATATGTTTATGACCTAATGCCAAGTTCTGTGAGCCTCTGCTTCATTTATCAACGTGGGTCTTAGAAAGATAAATGAGATGTATGTTCATTATAAAACACTGTAGAAAAAAATTATTATGTGACCCATGTTTCTTTCAAACTGACTAAACTTTTAACAGCCTTTTTTTCTAGATTCTCTGCACTGACCTCCCTCTTCTGAGAGCATTTACTTATAAAAAATAGTAGTTGTAAATTTTTCTTTTCTACCATTGAGATATAAATAATTTTTAAAGCCTCTAGCCAGTTTCACAACCCAGGACTGTCTCTCTCAAGGGCCTGGGGGCCATCCCTTTGAAATGTAATCATCAAGGAAGGTTGATCCCTCTCTACTAGTCTCTGTAAGAGGAGAGGAATCTAACTTCCATGGTTGCCTTACTCCATGTTGTAAAATTACCTCCTTTCATGAAGATAAAAGAAAGTTTACTTTTCCTTTGGATAAGACTAATTAGCAAACACAGACAACCTACAATCTCCCCAACCCACATGACAACTCTTAAAAACTCTCCTGCCCTTTCTTTCAGCGAAATTGAGTTTAGATGGTATTCTGGTTCTCTCTTCTTTATTAAAACAGTCCTGAATAAGTTTCCTTCACTTGTTTTACTTTGCCTGGTTCAATTTTTGCTCTGAAACATGCTAACAGAATTTCAATGTGCTTACCATACATAACACAGCATTAACCTTTAATGGTCATTATTATTTGCTGAAAAATGACCCAAAAGCTGAGTAAAATATTAATATTGCTTAAAATAAAAGTAGGTCCTTTCTCAGCAAATCTCACTGAACACAGTGTGATTCACATAGCTCTAACTCTGCACACTGAAGCTGAAAGAAATGGCTTCTTTTAATGACACACTTCATCCTAGTAACATTTACTCATTTTTATCATTAAATCCTCTTCTTGCCAAAAAAAGCTTCCAGAAGCAACACTAAAATATTATTAATTAAAAGAAAAAAGTAATAAAATTGCAAGATAAAATCCATCAGCAACAAGAAGTAAGCATTAACAGGATAATAAAATCCTAGAGAGAGAGTATAGACCAGACAAACTCTCTCAAATAGGATTTCTTCTTCATGAAGAAATTTTAATAGTTATCATATTCTTATTTATTGTACTTTGATAGCCTTAAAATATATTTACTTTTTAAATTTTTAGAACAACTTAAGCTTATGCTTCTATAATGCATATGACATAGTTAAAAAATGTAAACACATGTAGATATTTTAAATAAACACATACAACACATTCACACACACACAGATGCATGCATGCATGCTTGCAAACTTGTTTCCACTTTTGCTTTTCTACAATATCTAAACTGAATCTTTTTGATAATGCATAATAGATTGATGTTTCTATATAGTAGTAAAGATAGGTTGCCAAAATTTATTGCTTAAAAACACATTTAATTATTTCAATACTATATCACACTAGGATTAACCAAAAAAAATGAGTTTCTCAGTTATAAGGTATACTATTTATTTACAGTAGAAAAAGTCAGTGTTTCCAGCCTTTTGAAATTCATGCTATACATTGGTCCAATAGAGAGACCAATTTTGCTTAATCAAAGTGTAGCTACTTAAGTAGCACCCAGATAAATATAAGTAAAATGTGTACCCTTAAGTGGATTCACTGAGTGTGACCAATCCTTTTCAACACAGATCTGACAGTCATGTTTCTCCTCATTGAGTGTGGTAGGAACAACGTCATTGAGGAACTAATTCATTAAATCGTGTTTACTAACATCAGCAGTGTATACATTGTATGCCTTTTTGTAGTTTTACAATCTCAGAGGAAAAAAAAAAACTTTGAGTACATCACAAATTTCATATAGCTGGTGAAATAAAAGTCTCAGTAAGCAATTTGATCATGCAAATGAACAGATTCTCTCTATTCTACTTCCAGCTATACCCCAACACACACATACATACACACACTTGCCCCCCACCCATGGACTCAAAATGTACTTTTCTGAACGCTAAAGAATATATAAACAATGCTCCAGCTAAGAGTATTACGAAATGTGATAACTGAGACATCTTTCTTAAAAAAAAAAAAAAAGTAAGTCAAGGATACAAAAAGCTTTCATTTTTTTATTTGCAAATATTTAACTGACCAATTAGGTGCCAAAATACTCTTTAAATGATTTGAAAGATGTCCATAACTGCAAACCCAAAGAAAATCTCTACACTTCAGCCTCACTGCTATAACTTAAGAAGTTTCCAAAAATAAAAATAGTAAATTCCCATTTTTGGTTTTTATACAAATTGAACCTGTACTGAACAAAATAACTTTATTTTGTAATATGATCATGATTGCAAAAGCTCCAAGGGACAAATATTTCATTTATTTAATTATGTGGCCTCATTTGGAGAGACAAGGCAACAATAGACATTGATTGAGGATGAGAGGAACCTCAATGACAGTTGATTGCCATTGTCATGAAGACTACCTCTGAAATTCCTGAGAAACCATGGGGATTAAAGATGCCCATAATATCAGCACCTTAATTATGAAATTCAGTGTAGCACTAATTAAAAACAGGACCCCTGAAGTCAGAACAACCTGGGTTTCGGTACAGATTCACTATGAGCTGTGTAATTTAAGTTCAGTCATTTGACAATTTTATAGCTTAGTAGCTTCAATAGCATGATAGTATAATATTTAATGTACAGGTTTGCTGTAAGGAATACACAAGATAGTGCATAAAATGTACTTTTGTGCATCACCTGGAATAAACTAAGACACAATAAATATGAGCTGGTACTATTAAAATCATCCTCTCTAGGAATTCATACAAAACCACACAATCTTTTGTCTATATATTTGTTTTAAATATAAACCTACCAGGTTTAAATTTGTATCCTATTTTTTCAGTTAATTATATTTCATTTTTACATAACATAATTTTTTGCATCATTCACCTTTTAATTTATTTATCATTCCATATAGGAAAAAAAGTGCTTCTTGACTGTCCATTACATTCTGATATTCTGGTAGTGATTGGCAGATAAAATAATGAGCAGAATCCACACAATCTCTGCTCTCATAGAACAGACAATTTAGTATAAGAGGCAAACATAGATACAAAATTCTTACAAACAGCTATAATATTGCAACTGTGGCAAGGACCCTCAAAAAGAGTCAAAGGTGGTGTGATCTGTCTTAGTAAAAAATGTAATGTGGAGCTTCCCCTACAAAATCATGCTGAAGTGAGAGCTGAAAGATGAATAGGAATTGTCTAGGTTAAAGTGACGAAACAAATCACCTCAGCATAATCCCTAGTGGCAGAGAATATGAGCATGTACAGTTATTTGTTTATCTGATTTAAATCCAAGAACAATAAGGGGATTTTATTAGGCTTTTGCTTTAAAAAGATCTTGCAGTTACATGTGGAGAATAGATCTGTAGGCACTGACATATTAAGAGACCAGTTAGAAAGTTGTTACGATCGTCCAAATGAGATGACATCATAGTTGGGCTAAGCTGGTGGCAAACTGGGAGAAAGGTATATGGGTCTGAGAAATACTTAGTAGATAACAATAATCAATAGAGCAATGGATTGAATGTTCGGGAGGCTAGGGAGTGGGGCAGGATGAAAACGTAACACCAAGGTTTTGCAAACTTGTGAATGATGCTGCCATTTTTTGAAGTAAGCAACACTTGGTAAGGATCAGATTTGTTCACTTCCATCAAGATGAGTCAGAACTTGCCCTGAAATATATAAGAAATGTCAAGTAGCATGTTACTATGATCTTTATAGTGATAATTTTTAATGACTGCATTTTGTTCCATTGATTGTATATACTACATTTTGTTCATAATTAAGAAATGTTGAACAAACTATTAATTTTTTCATTAAAATAAATATTGTTGATTGAACTGCTCTGTGCCATAGCTTACTCTTTGTGTCAGCTTATTTAGTATACTTGAAAGAGGAGTCCTGGGCCAGCCAGTACTAAAACTTTTCTTGCACTTACAATTTCCAAATAGTTTTCCAAAATATTGTAATTATTTATACTGTTGCTAGAAAAACATAAATGAGGAAGTTTAATTACTCTCTATACTCAAGACAAGCCCAATAAACCATACTTGCTATCCCATCATACAGTCTCTATTAAGGGAGATAATAAATCTCTCCATATCCCAGTCTGAAGCAAGTCTTCTGAGATTTCTGAGTGCTTATCATTTCTTTTCCCAGATTGATTGCAAGTAATATTGTCTCTGCTTTCAGATTAAGCTATTCTGGAAGCATGGCCTCTCACTCTAGCCCCTAATGGGCAATCAGGCACTACTATAATACGTTACTCAAAGTTGAGGCCATAATCCTATTTAATTCTTATATAAAACTCTTTTCCATTAAAAAAATGTTGAAATTAAAAATTTAAATCAGGAAGCAAATAATTTAAATTATATATATATTTATATACTGTATATACATTTGCATATACAGTTATATATTTTATATTATTATCATATATAGTATATATTAGTGTGTATACTCTTCTCACACACACACTTGTACATACAAACATAAATATGCACATATGTAATTCCATATAGTACATGTGTACACATATGTATACATATGTGTATGTGTGTGTGTGTATTTTTTCATGAAATGTAGTGTCATTATCCAGAGGCAAATAATATTAACACTTTTTTTGTGCCTTTCAAATATCTTTTTGTTATTTGAAATTTTTTTTTTGCTTCCCAATTTAACACAAAAAAATCATATTATGCCTACTGTTGCGTAACTTAATTTTTTCATTTCTAAGAATACTTGGCATATGTTAGCATATTGTTATACATAGCACTTTATCATTAAAGTAACTGCAAAACTCCCTTCATTCAGCTGTTCATAATTTTTGTATGTTTTTATTACTTGAACATTTAGTTTGTTTCCATTTTTCTGTGGCTTTTACAAACAAAGCACTATGCTCATCTTTGCAGAGATTTGCACAAATCTCCACAAATATACACTGTAGATATATTTGAAGGATACATTTATAAGAATAAAATGGCTAAGTTAATATGTATACATTAAAATTTAGTTATAAATTCCAAAGTAGCCCTCTTAAAGGAGCTTGCTTCAATTAAATTATCATTTTAAAGTGTGAGTATAGATAGTACTGTGCTAACAAATGCTTAACAACTGGTTCTCTGGCTTGAAATATTAACGGCCCTTATTGGTAGTAATTGACAATTTCCGTGGTATAAATATACCAGCCATCACCAATTTCAAGCTACCAATACAATGTTTCTAAACTTACAGTTGGATGAAAATCAACACATTTGTTCCTTTGAGCTGGTGAAGCTGTCTCCTGTACACCACTGATTATCTTTCCTCACAATCCTTAACTATGGTTGCTACCCAACTTTTAAATCTTTCCCATTTGATAGATTGACAGATATTTATTTTATTTTAATTTACATTTTGTAATAATAAATAAGTTTTCCACAGGTTAATTGGTTATTTAATTTGTTCTACTGTTAGGTATCTGTTCCTGTTCAATCATTCATTTCTATATGATTTTTAACCTTCCTATTACTCATTTGCACTATTCTTTCTATAGTAAAGAAGACCTTCTTTTCCTTATATGTTGTTAATATTTGTCCTATCAGTCACTTATCTTTTAACTTTTATTGTGATTTCACCTTTTTGTTGTTACAGAGTTTTTAATTTTTATGAAAGTAACCGCATTTATCTTATCTTTTAGATGTCCAGATTTGTGACAATTCGCAACAAAAACATAAATAAATTGCTGTATTTGGGTGTTGATTTTCTTGCCTGTTTAATAGGAGCTAATAGCTACAAGATATTTCTTCTCAGCTCAAATATTACATAATTCTTTGCAAACATTTCTACTTTGGTCCCTTTCAGCTGGATTATTTTTCTGAGAATCAAGGCTTACAGATAAAAATTCACTTTGTGAAATAATCCACCATTCACTAGCAATACACTTGAAAACAAAACTTCAGTTGTATCCTGTTCCCATTCTTTGCCAAATACATTAGTATGTGGAAATTCCCGGATCAAAAGATTACATTCTGCCTCAAAATGAAATCAATGTTCATGATACTGTGGTTCCAATAGAAAGGAGTCTTCCAACTGGGAGAAAATATCTTTCTGATGGATGTGTTTTCTCCTGTCCAACAAGAATTTCTATTTGTTAAATCTCACCAAGCAATTCCTCTGTTATGTATTTTGTACATTTTTCCTCATAACTTATCTGTACTTTTAATTTTTTGTGGGTATATAGGATGTGTATATATTTACCGAGTATATGAGATATTTGTATACAGGCATACAATGTGTAATAATCACATTGGGGTAAATGCATTTATCCTTTCTTTGTGTTACAAACACTCTATACCCTTTTAGTTATTTAAAAATGTATAATAAGTTATTGTTGGCTATAGTTACGCGTTGTGCTATCAAGTACTAGATCTTATTCATTCCATCGAACTATATTTTTGTACCCATTTACCATCCCACTTCCCTGCCTCCTACTACGCTTCCCAACCTCTGGTAAACATCATTCTACTCTCTGTCTCCATTATTTCAATTTTAGCTTCCACAAATAAATGAGAACATGAGAAAATTATCTTTCTGTGCCTGGCTTATTTCACTTAATGTAATGTCCTCCAGTTCCATCTATGTTGTTGCAAGTGACAGGATCTCATTCCTTTTTATAGTTGAACAGTATTCTGTTGGGTATATGTACATTTTCTTTATTCATTCATCTGTTGGTGGACACCTCTTGCTTCCAAATCTTGCCTATTGTGAACAGTCCTGCAACAAACATGGGAATCCAGATATTTCTTTGATATACTGATTTCCTTTCTTTTGGGTATACCTAGCAGAAAGATTGTTGGATCATATGTCAGTTCCATTTTTAGATTTTGAGGAACCTCCCAACTGTTCTCCACAGTGGTTTTACCAACTTATTCCCCTCAACAGTGTACAGGGTTCCCTTTTATGCAAATCCATGCCATCATTCATTATTGCCTATCTTTTGGATAAAAGCTATTTTAACGGGGGTGAAATGATATTTCATTGTAGTTTTTTGGTTTTGTTTTGTTTTTGTTTTTTGTTTTGTTTTGGGTTTTGGTTTGGTTTTGTTTGAGACGGAGTCTCTCTCTGTCGCCCAGTCTGGAGTGCAGTGGCGCGATCTCGGCTCACTGCAAGCTCCACCTTCCGGGTTAACGCCATTCTCCTGCCTCAGCCTTCCGAGTAGCTGGGAGTACAGGCGCCCGCGACCACGTCCGGCTAATTTTTTATATTTTTAGTAGAGATGGCGTTTCACCGTGTTAGCCAGGATGCTCTCGATCTCCTGACCTCGTGATCTGCCTGACTCGGCCTCCCAAAGTATTGCGATTACAGGCGTGAGCCAGGGCACCTGGCCATTTCACCATAGTTTTTATTTGCATTTATCTGATGGTCAATGATATTGAACACCTTTTTATATACCCGTTTGCCATTTGTATATCTTCTTTTGAGAAATATCTATATCTTTTGTCCATTTTTATTTTTTTAATTTTAATTTTTTTTAAATTTAACTTTTAAGTTTACGGGTACATGTGCAGGTTTGTTATATAGGTAAACTTGTGTCATGGGGGTTTCTTGTACAGATTATTTCATCACCCAGGTATTAAGCCTAGTATCCAGTAGTTATTTTTCCTGACTCTACCTCCGCCCACCCTTATCCCTCCACCCTCCCGTAGACTCCAGTGCGTGGTGTTCTCCTCTGTGTGTTCATGTGTTCTCATCATTTAGCTCCCACTTATAAGTGAGAACATGTGGGTATTTGGTTTTCTGTTCCTGTGTTTGCTAAAGACAATGGCTTCCAACTCCACCTATGTTCCTGCAAAAGGCATGATCTTGTTGTTGTTTTTTTTACAACTTTTTGCCCATTTTTAATCGGATTATATTTTTCTACTGACTTGTTTGAGCTCCTTATATATTCTGCTATTTTATTTTGTTTGTAGCTATTATAAATGGGATTACTTTCTTGATTCCTGTTTCAAATTGTTCATTGTTAGCATATAGAAATGCTACTGATTTGGGTATGTTGATTTTGTATCCTGCAACTTTACTGAAATTTATCATTTCTAATAGTTATTTGGTGAAGTCTTCAGTTTTGTTTTGTTTTTTTTTTTTTCAAATATAAGATCATACCATTTGCACACAGGATAATATGGCTTCCTTTCTAATTTGGATGCGCTTTTATTTCTTTCTTTTATCTGATTGCTTTAGCCAGGACTTCCAGTACTATGTTGAATAACTGGTGAAAGTGGGCATCATTTTCATCTACCAGATCTTAGATCAAAGGTTTCCAGTTTTTCCCTATTCAGTATGATACCACCTGTGGATCTGTCGTATACAGCTTTTATTGTATTGACCTATGTCCTTTCTATCCCCAGTTATTTGGGGGTTTTTTATCATTAAGAGATGTTGAATTTTACCAAGTGCTTTTTTAGCATCAACTGAAATTATCATATGTTTTTTGTTCTTCATTCTGTTGATATGAGGGATCACACTGATTTGTATATGTTGTATATTTGTATATGTTGAACCATCCTTGAGATAAATCCCACTTGGTCACAATGAATGATCTTTTAAATGTATTTTTAAATCTGGATTGCTTATATTTTGTTAAGGATTTTTGCATCAATATTCATTGGGAATCTGGACCTGTAGTTTTCTTTCCTTGATATCTTTCCCTGGTTTTGGTATCAGGGTAATACAGGCCTCATAGAATGAGTTTGGAAGCATTCCCTCCTCCCCTATTTTTTGGAACAGTTTGAGGAGAATTGGTATTTTTTTAAATGTTTGGTAATATTCAGCAGATAAGCCATGAGTTCCTAGGCTTTTCTTTGCTGGGAGACATTTTATTTCAGCTTTGATCTCATTACCTGTTAGTGTTCTGTTCAAGTTTTGGATTTCTTCATGGCTTAATCTTGGTAGGTTGTATGTATCTGTTACTTCTAGGTTTTCCAGTTTAGTAGCATATAGTTGCTTGTAGTAGCTTCTAATGATCCTTTGAATTTCTGTGTTATTGGTGTAATGTCTCCTTCTTCTCTTCTAGTTGGGTCTTCTCTCTGCTTTTCTCAGTTAGGCTAAACGTCAATTTTGTTTATCTTTTTTTAAAAAAACAACTTTTCATTTTATTGCTCTTTTGTATTGTTTCTTGTTTCAATTTCATTTATTTACCCTCTGATTTTACTATTCCTTTTCTTCTGCTAATTTTGGGTTTGGTTTGCTTTCACCCATCTAATTTTTTAAGATGCATCATTAGGTTGCTTATTGAAAGTTTTTTTTTTTTTTTTTACTTTTTTGCTTTTAGACACATTGCTATAATCTTTCCTCTTAGTACTGCTCCTATAGGTTTTGGTATGTTGTGTTTCCATCTTTGTTTCAATAAATTTTTAAATTTCCTTCTTAATCTCTTCATTGACCCACTGGTAATTCAGCAGCACAGTATTTAGTTTCCATGTATTTGTATAGTTTGCAAAATTCCTCCTAATTAGGAGGAAGGATTTAAGGAGTCCCTTCCTGAAGTGTGAGCTGCAGTGCCTGGGGTTGAAGGAGGGCTAATGCAAGCACTCCCTTGGAAGCCCCAGCTGGTGTCTTGCTAGGTCATGTTCACCCCAAGTCCACTGGTTCTGAGCCCAACACGGTACAAGGTCTTGCCCAGGAATTGCAGTCCTGTGACCTAGGCTGTCTTTCAAGTTAATTAGGACTCCAGAGCACTTTCTTCCACAGTGGCAGGGCTTGCCAGGGCTCAGGTTCCAATCTTGAGATAGACTATTTGCCTCTGGCTAGGGCTGGTCTTAATGCTCCTTCCATGGACACTGGCCGAGTTCTGCCCTGTGCTGCTTTTGACTGTGACAGGGCAGCACTGAGTTACAATGCCAAGTTCCACAATCATTGTGCTATCCCTTCCCTAAATGCACAGATACTCTCTCCAGGCCAGTCAGCCATTGTTACTACTGGGGAATGGGAAAATGGTAATGTCAGCAATTCAAGACTGTCTTTCCTACACTCTTTTGTGCCTCTTCCTTAATATGATGTTATAAACAGGTACTGTGATCACTCACCTGATTTTTAGTTCTCATGAAGGTGTTTTTTGTGTGGATAGTTATTCAATTTTCGTGTTTCTGCAGAGGGGGTAATCTTTGTAGGCTTCTATTTGGCCATCTTGCACCATCTCTCTCCCTATACTGTTTTTTATTAAACTAAAAAAAAGAACAAATGTGAACATAAGCAAATTCTAAGTCATGATTTCTTACCAGTTCTACATGAGTTGTTTTAGCTAATATAAATACAAAACCAACAATCTCTTATCTCCAAATTCATATTTCATTTTTCCTCCAAGATATCAGGATCAGAGTACTTTAGATGCAAGATGATGATTACACCACATAAATACAATAAATCCAGAATGTGTGTGTGTGTGTGTGTGTGTGTGTGTGTGTGTGTGTGTAATCTGTTTAGCTGTAATCTGTTCTCAACTTAACTGGTTATATTTGAAAATGAAGTTTTGAGCTAAGAATATATTTACTCAAAAATAGTGATTAGATTCCCAAGTGAGTTCATAAGACTCCATTTAATATATAAAGTGTATACAAGGAAAACGGTTAAAGGAATGGTAAGGATGAGAATGTGGATCCTGGGAAATTAAGGAACAGTGGTTAGAAGAGGTTTCTTTTCTCTTAGCGTTCTGTTTGCATTCTCCTCATTTTTGCTGCTCAAGGTTATCAAGGACTGCAATGAGAGAAATGAATAAAGTTTAAGAATAAAGTGAGAAATACAAGTCAAGACCTTTACATGTTCATTATATTTCATAATTCTAAGTTGGCAAAAGGCAGATGTAGTGTCCAAAAATAATGATGTGCTTTT
Source organism: Homo sapiens (assembly GCF_000001405.40). Taxonomy (NCBI): domain Eukaryota; kingdom Metazoa; phylum Chordata; class Mammalia; order Primates; family Hominidae; genus Homo; species Homo sapiens. The sequence continues at coordinate 84,874,512 of NC_000005.10, read as the reverse complement.
TAAATTTTTCTTTTCTTCCTCATTTCTCCCTTTTCTATCTGTCTGTTCCTTTCATAGCACATCAGATCAAAATTCTAATTCACTGGGATTATAGCAAGGTAAGAAGTAAGCATCAGGCTAATGTATGTGTGATAGTGTAGAGTGAGAAACTGCATCTGCCAGGGAGAGGATTTGCAGTAATTAGGTGAAAAGTGAGCAAAAAAACAGAGTTTGCAAAGCAGAGAGAAGGAACCAGAATGGGCTCTGTCTCTGCAATGCATAAAGGCAAGTATTTCCAAAGTCTTATAACTTAAAACTTTAAAGGTAGCTTTAAGTCTATCTTGTACAATATTTTACTAAATTCAAGAATTTTTTCTGAAATTTTCTAAAAGGTTAGTCTTAAAAGTGTCATAAGACCCTTTCTCAATAGGAGTTATTCTCTCAGTAGCAACAAGGGAGGGAGGGAAATAAGTGGTTGAGCACATGGGCTCTGGAGACAGATTGTTTTGTTTGAACTCCTGTTCCCATTGCTAACAGGACCCCAGTCAAGGCATTGAATCTCTTTGTATTTCAATCTCCTCACTCCCAACCCCTACCCAAAATGGACAAAATTGTAAAGTATGTTAAGTATCAAATTTATAAATTTATGTAAAGTTATTAGGATATGCTAGTACCTACCTAAATCTTGGTAAATCTCAGCTATTATTATTATTATTATTATTATTATTAACTATAATTAGATGGAAAATGGCATTTATTGAACTAAAACTGTTTCCACTGGAAAATCTAACTAATTCCTTTTAAAGATTGTCAATAATTGTGGGCAAAGATGGAAAGGAGAGCTATGTAGCTTGTAATTATATCACTACCTTTCTCTTTTAATCCTGTCCCAAATTTAAATTATAAAATTTTCAACTTCAAGAGTCATTACCAATTTGCTACATCCCTGGTTAATATACATGTATTATTAAAATAGTAGGTGTCTCCAACCAGCTCCTGATGCTGGAACACTTTTTGTTCATTGGTGAAATATAGTAAATGCAGAGGTCAATGTGATGGATATTGCACCTACAGTCAAGCCCACATTGCAAGCCCAGTTGATTGTCTACCCATCATTACAACAGCTTCTACTTCAAGAAAAAAAAAAAAAAATTAAGAACTCTTCCTAAGAGAAAAGATTTTCATGTTTCCTTAGGATAATTTTTTTTTTTTCAGATGGAGTCTTGCTCTGTTGCCCAGGCTGGAGTGCAGTGGCGCAGTCTTGGCTCACTGCAACCTCCGTCTCCTGGGTTCAAGAGATTATCCTGCCTCAGCCTCCCGAGTAGCTGGGATTACAGGCACTTTTCACCATGCCTGGCTAATTTTTGTATTTTTAGTAGAGACGGGGTTTCACTATGTTGGCCAGGCTGGTCTCAATCTCCTGACCTCAAGTAATCTGCCTGCCCTAGCCTCCCAAAGTGCTGGGATTATAGGCATGAACCACTGGGGCGGCCTCCTTAGGATAATCTTATTTTGCTGATGTTTACTTTCTCATATGGACTCATGGTCTACAGTGATAGTTCACGTCAATGGCTGAATCAGCATTTAAAATGTCACTAGTGGGCTGGACATAGTGGCACACACCAGGAGTTCCAGTATTTTGGGAGGCCAAGGTGAGTGGATTGCTTGAGCTCAGGAGTTTGAGACCAGCCTGGGCAACCATGGTGCAACCCCCTCTCTACAAAAAATACATAAATTAACTGGGTGAGGTGGCAAGTGCCTGTAGTCCCAGTTACTAGAGAGGCAGAGGTGGGAGAATCCCTTGAGCCTGTGAGGTTGAGGCTGCCATGAGTCAAGATCATGCCACTGCACTCCAGCCTGAGTGAGAAAGTGAGACCCTGTCTCAGGAAAAAAAAAAAAAAAAAAAATGTCACCAGTGGCTTAGGGCACTACATACAACCTGGTAACTGAGACAATGTTTGGAAGTAGATATGACCATACCAATATCAATATATCAAATATATAATGAAATAGATTATAGTAAATGACACATAGCAAATATGGATAAGAAAAATAATTATACTGTTACTTATACCATAATCAGAATTAAATATGGGTTTCTTCTTTGATGATATAAAGAACCCAGGGGTGTGAGGCTTTTCTAATTTCTAGTGGAAACACCAGCTTGTCTTTGCCACTGACACAACTTAAGACACGTTTGGCAAAAAAACATAAACATATTATGTCTCTTGTGTGTAATTGCCACCATTTCCTCGCTGGCCAAATACCACTAATTGTGCCTCTCAAGTGTATTATTTTGGCATTAGCTCATTAAATTTTTATTTAAGTTTACAAATTAGAGCCAAAAATTCACAACTTTCAGTTTTTAAGAGACAAGACTCCAAACTCTGCCTCGTAAAACTCTAAGATTTCTGAGAGAACAACTGGTCTTCTCAGGTGATAGTTTATAAGGGCCTGACATGGCATCTAACAAATGACGGGCAGTTCTTGAAAGACTTGACTTTTTTCAGGAATTATCGCAGAACCAACCACACATTTATTGGAGCCATTGTGCTATTTTTTAGACCAGGCTATGTTCTTGTTCCTCTTTTTTTTCTTTGCAGCAGAATTTAAGGCTCAATTTGGTGCCATTACTTCTTTTAAAAAGACACCTTCCAATCTATCCTTTGAAGCTCTTTCCCTAGTAGTTGCTGTGGTTGATGATAATACCTGTCCAACCTTGTTCTTATCTGCCCTCAAAGATAGGCGTGAAGGGTCAGTTCATTTTCAGTATTGTAATATACTTTCTAAGGAAAAAAACTAATGGGATATTCTAACAAAAATAATAGCATAATACAAACATATATACCTTACAATATCCAAATGGTGTGAGAAAGCTTCCATGTAATTCTTTAACTCGAGAGCAAATGTATGTATAACTCCCCATTTCTCTGACTCGAGACAAATGTATGTATAACTTCCCATTTTATCTTTTAATGAAATGTTTTTCATGTGGGTTCTGTAGATGCCATAAAAATGCTTTCTCCATTATCTGACATTACAGTATTATTGATCAAAGCCCCAGCTGCTGGATTCCAAGATCCATTCACACATCTGGGGTGTGGCAACTCTCCCTCTGCAGATGACTGAGCACAACAGGGAAACTGAGGCAAGTTCATTACTTGGAGATGCAGGACTCCTCTACCAGGGACCTGTGGCTTGAAGAACCCCAAAAGCTTTGCCAAATACCCTAGAACTACATTGCAACCTAAAGCTCTTCCAGTTCAACTTCTTTCCTTCCTCTTCTTTTTCACATGTCAGACCTGCTTTGTGGACTAACAGCTTTCCCAGCACCACCCCACCCTGACCTTTGAATTTGCCCTCACAAATATTTTCCCCAGTAAAGCTTTTGAATGTTTTTTCCCCCATATTGGAACTTGCTTCTCAGGGCCTAAACTTGCACACGCCTTCATGAAAATTGTTCATTCCTACTCTGAGAAAAAGAATGTTAATATATATAAACAAATGTGGCATGAGTAAAAGACAAAAAATTATAAGATATTTTAGTGGGAGAAAATTAAATTTAACCTGAAATATTCTAGGAAATGGATCAGAGGTTTTGGTGATACATTTCTATTAAATATTCTAGTAAACATTTGTATTTATTAGTTTAGTGACCATGCATACACAGACAAATTGTAGTTTAGAAAAGGTTTGTTAACAAAGACTTGACAATTTTATAGCACTCTTTGTAGAAACTGAGGCCACATAAAATGAGATTTTAAAAACTGCCTGTCTTTGTCTTTGTGAAATGTACATAAAACAGTTCAAATTAGGAGGAGAAGATCAAAAGTATCCCTAAAAATTGCAAGTGTCATTATCACAGGTTTCATCTCTATTCTGTCACTCCCGCTACCTGAACTAATCCACACTATTTTTTCAACTAAACTTTGGTTCCTTATCTGAATCACAAACTGTTCAGAAAGAGGAAGAGAAGCAGAAATTGACAAACCACAGTAAAGTGATATCCTATCAGTAAGGTTTAAAACCACTCTACTTTTTGTTTCAATTACTAGTGACAAGCTGGGCATAAAACATGCCATAGAAAATGTCACTTGCTGGATTAATTTGTTTCACTTCTGTTGAGAAATATAGTCTATATCAGGACTCTAACTGCTGCTTAAAGAAAATATAAATTAAATAGTCCTAGTTCTAAGCATATTTATAATCCCGAAATAAAAACATCAGTTAATGGTCAAGGAGATACAACTATCCCCATAGAGTTAAAAAGAAGAAAAGGAACAATTTGTATAATGACCCAATCACATATGTACACAATAAAGAAAGCATAATAATATTATATGAAATAAATTCTGGGCTTTTAGAAAATGTAAAGCAATTTCTCTTAGAATTGATGGAAAATACATCAATGAGGAATGGAAGTAATTCCATACTAAGGAACCAGAATGAGTAAATGAAAAAATTCAGGAAACCTTGGGATGTGTTTCTGGAGGATCAATAAGTTTAGTTGGACTGGAGTGAGGGCTTGTGAAGAGTGCTTTCAGGAAATAGTATTGAAAAGGATAGTTAAATAGGACTTATGAAGGATGTTGAGTGTCACAGTAAAACGCATGTTAACTAGTGCTTCCCAGACAGGGCGAGGCATACACTGAATGCGTATGAGGTAAGTGATCATCTTACAGCTAGGGCTGCTGAGAATTGAGCGTGTACAACAGGTTTCAGCGCACTTTCTTTGTAAGAAGTTATTGCACATTTCAGGGTTTGTTTCCTTTTAAACGTTTGATGAGATCTCAAACTAGCCACCAGTACGTTCCTTTCAGTCCCAAAATACATTTTGTTTGCCGAAAATTATGCTTTAAAATATTTTTACAAGATGGCAATATTTTAAAATTGTGAATTATAATATAAAATATGAACTTCTGTCTTCTCTTCAAGTGAAAGATAACTAGAAGGTATTATAACACTTAGCCAGCATTCATTAATGACAGCACTCAGTGAAGCTGACTTGAGCTGCCCCTTTGAATAAGGAATACAGCTTGCCAGTTTCCACTTAATTGCTCTGGCAATGTACTTTATGTGCCTACTTTTATGGACATTAAACCCCCCTACATCAGACAATAGAGATTCAATTATGTTTCCTAACATATGAGCTTTAGATGTATTGGTCTAAATTGAAACAGGGCCGAAGAAAATGAGACCATTTTACTTCTATTTTATTTTCTTTCTTTCTTTGTTTTTTTGAGATGGAGTTTCTCTCATCGCCCAGACTGGAGTGCAATGGAACAATCTCGGCTCTCTGCAACCTCCACCTCCAGGGTTCAAGCGATTACTCTGCCTCAGCCTCCCAAGTACCTAGGATTACAGGCACCTGCCACCATGCCCAGCTAATTTTTGTATTTTTAGTAGAGACAGGGTTTCACTATATTGGCCAGGCTAATCTTGAACGTCTGACCTCCGGTGATCAACCCGCCTCAGCCTCCCAAAGTGCTGGGATTACAGGCGTGAGCCACTGCGCCCAGCCACATTTTACTTTTAGAGTAGGGAGGACCTGAACTAAAATGATTAAAGCAACAATGTAGAGTGTAGCTTAAATGTCAAAGTTCAGAAATTACAAAATTTTTCACCTCAGAAGACACGATTAAATATAAAATGTGAAAAAGTCAAGAAAGCTGCAAAGTGGTGAGAATAATATACATGTCTAAAATTTTGGATACTTGTTAGAAATGAAGAACTGGAGCTCAAGAAAAAAAATCAGAGATAAACATAAAGATTTGAAGACTATGTAAAGGGAGGTGAAAGAGGCTAGTAGAGGAGATGACATTTTTCAAGTCAATGAATAATAAGTGGAGATTCAGGAACAAATCTGTAGGGAATTTCTATATTTAAGTCTTAAAGGGGGGAAAAAGAAATACATTAAAAAAAAAAAAAAGAGTGGTCAAGAAGGCAGGAAGAGAACAAGTAAACTGTCAAAAAACCAGAGAAGGACAGGTGCGGTGGCTCAAGCTTGTAGTCCCAGCACTTTCGGAGACCGAGGCAGGTGGATCACTTGAGTCCAGGAGTTTGAGATCAACCTGGGCAACAAGGCGAAACCCTGTCTCTACTAAAAATACAAAAAAAAACTTAGCTGGCTGTGGTGACATGCACCTGTAGTTCCAGCTACTTGGGAGGCTGAGGTGGAGGCTCATTAGAATCCAGGAGATGGAGGCTGCAGTGAACAGAGATCCTGCCACTGCACTCCAGCCTGAGCAACATAGTGGGGAGAAAAAGGAAAAGAAGAGGACAGTCCAAAAGGAGTCACTATTTTTGAATGTTTCTGAAAAGTTTTCTTAGTAAATTTTGCATTGTTATAAAGGAATATCTGAGGCTGGGTAATTTAAAACAAAAAGAAGTTTATTTGGCTTATTATTCTTCAGGCCATACAAGAAGCAAAGCACCAGCATTTGTTTCTGGTAAGGATGGCAGAAAGCTTCCAATCATAGTTGAATGGAAAGGGCATCACCAGGCATCACGTGGTGAGAGAGGAGAAAAGAAAGAGAGTGAGGGATGGGGTGCCATGCTCTTTTAAACAACCAGCTCTGCTTGAACTAATACAGCCAGAGCTCACTCATTACCATGGGGTGGGTACCAAGCCATTCATGAGGGATCCATCCCCATGACCCAAACACCTTGCACCAGTCCCCACCTCCAACATCAGGATCAGATTTCAACACGAGATTTGGAGAAGACAAATATAAACTATATCAGAGGTCAAGAGGAAATGAACTGAGGAAAGATACTAGATTGAAGGATTAACAGTACCATTTTTTATTTACCCTGTAACAATAGTTGAGGGAAATGTTATACATTCCTTCACTTCATTTATCACAGTCATATGAGTTAATGTTATCATAACCATTCTATGAGGAGTGGCAGTTTAGAGAGGTTAAGAAACACTTTTAACTCCAGAAGGAGAAAGAATAGATAATTATGCATGAAAGACTTTTAGTATGACCTAAGAGTAGTGTTTATTACTTTTGCTCACATTTTATTGGCTCATATCTAAGTGCAAAGGAGGCTGGTAAATGTGTGCTCAAAACAAAGGGAATGAATTTGGCGACCAGCTGCCAGTCTCTGCCACAAAGGGTAAAATACAATATTTCAAAGCTCTCAGCAGTAGTTTTCAATCCTTTTCATGCAAAAACTTTTTTTTTAATTAATGGACAGCATTAGTGGTCATTTTTCTTTTGCAAAAAGAAAGCCAAATTGCAAGCTGTTATGCAGTAATTCAAGCTAAACTACTCTGCACAATAATATAAAAGTTTGTCTTGATTGTGGATTATTTGCATTTCTAAATTTTATTAAAATTTTGATTGGAGGTGGGCAAGAGCCTGGGAATAGAAAATAGCATTTACCTCCATCACTGCAGCAATCTAGAGAACATGAAGGTAGAAGTCAGGTTCAGAATATGGCCACTGAGGGAGATAAACTGGTCTTTGCCAGCTGACAGCAGGAGAATGGACAATAAGGTGAGAGAGACAGAAGATTCACCCTGTAAAGAGTCGTCAGTTTTGGTATCCAGGAGAATTTATGGCCCCTGTCTGGCTCTAACATTTTCTTTTCTGACTTGTAATTTCTATCTGCTATCTCCCAGCTTTCACTGAAGTTTGGCTCAGAGTTACAGCTGGGACTAAGCAGAGTTTTGTAGAATTGAGGAAGAAATCTGTTCCCATGTTTGCAGTGAAGAATTAGGGGCAGGCTGGTGTCAGGCCAGGCAAGCATGTAGCTAGGCAACCTACTGAGGCCGGAATATGAACCAGGGTCCTTTCGCTAGTGACTGTAAGATTTTGGTTCAGAAATACTTATGTATTGGAACTTGATATAAACTCTAAGCTTTCTGAAGCCACGCAGCATAAACATTTAAGAAATATTTTCCTCATTTACGAAAAGAGGCTGATTCTCTGATGGCAAATATGCACGGAACAGCAAAGTTAATACAACATGGAATGTAATAAAATTATTTCAGCAGTATAATTTTGACTAAAAAAAACTACTCTAATAATTGTAGTTAATTTTTCTTGTGAGATTGGGCAACATATTTTATAGCTCTGACTATATTTACTCAAAATAATGGAATAATGCCTATTTTGTACTTTGTTTTCTGGCAATATAAGGTATATAAATCTTCTCTGGAAACTGTCACTATACAGTTATAAGGGGTAAACATTCATACTGAAAAGCACAAATATTACCATATATTATTTTATTGCCTAATGAAAGTTCATTTTTTTCTAGCCTTCAGTTTGATAGTTTCTCTATCTCTACATTGTTTATATAGATATTGTGTGTGTGTGAATATATATATATAGATATACCAATGTAGAGCAATAAGAACATTTTCATGTTGAATAAAAAAAAATTGCCTGTAAAAATTTTCATTATTTCTCAATTAGTTCAGATATTAAAAAGTTTGCATACTCCTACTATAAGGGAAAGGGCTCACCTCCACTGAATCACCAGGCTAAATAGTGAAGGTGTTAATCAGAATTGCATCCAGGCTGTTGTAAAGGTTAAAGTCTGCTTAAAGCCATGAAAATATTTAAATTAAAAAATGGAACTTGCTCTTGCCATGTTGATCTGTATACTTTAGAGTCAAAAGCATGAAACGTTCATTTAAAAGTGTTATTGAGTTATCAAAATGCAACGCAAAAATATGATATTTAGGTAGAAAAGGTCAGATTAAAAAAAAAACAGGAGTCTCAAATACCTGAAATGTCAAGATTCTGGATAAAACTATAAAATAATTTTTTAAACTTACTATTGGATTGACTGAAATGATTTCTTATGAATTTTCAGGAAAATGCAGGGTAGCACACATTGATACAGCTCTTTGTCAAAGATGTGAAAACGTTAAGTTCTTTTCTAGGGGGTAATATTTCTAGGGCAGAGAATTGGAGGGTGTGTTCAAAGGGATTAATTTAAACAGTAAATGCTATTGCTTTGGTAACCTTGGATTTGTTTGAAGAGATTTGATGTCTCTGGAATTTTTAGTACAAAGATAACCCTATAAACATGTATAAAAATACACAGAGAATGTCTTAATATCTTTCTTTCTTCTTTTAAATGTTAATGAAATGCAGTAAAAGGAATTAAATTAGCTACAAAATGATGTCTGTTGAAATAGAATAAGCAAAATAATAACTTTGCAAAAATCAAATATTCATATAAATTATAGACCATCTATTAGCAACTTAGGTCATTGTCAGAATAAGCAAACAAAATAATAATAACAACTTTGCAAAAATCAAATATTCATATAAATTACAGACCATTTATTAGCAACTTAGGTCATTGTCAATGGTGCCCCTGGATAGACTTAATGTAAAGCCTTATATTTTCAGAAATTGTGAGGAGTGTTTTACCTGGTGATGGAGAGGGGAGAGGGTGCATCATCGCATGGACAGGAGCACATACGAAGTATAGTGACACATGCCAGCAGGTAGGTCGCAAGTTTCGGTAATGAAGCCATAGCTTCTCCCAGCGTGGAAGCTTTAGCATGATAATGAGGAAAATTCATTCAGGTTTCATCTATAAGTTGCTAGAGTCTGTTTGCAGCTAGTTCTAGCCTACTAGGTGACTGCATTCCATACAGGGTTTCGGAAAAAAACAATACTGCAAGGCAGGAATCTGTAAAATAGCCTGATTGTTCATGTTGATTAAATTCCTATAGTTCTTGGAGACTTCCCCACCCCCATGCTTCCCCCTGCTTATAATAGTAATCAAAGAGGAATTCAATAATACTTGTTAAACTGAATACATCTTTCTTATTGTCAATATTGCACACAGAGTTAGGAAATGAAGTATAATGTTTGTCTCACCTTCTGTGAGAACCTCACATATGTTTAAAATATTATTTCTCTAAAGGAGTAGCTTCAGAAATTGCACACTTGGTAACCTTTTGTTTGTATGTAAACCTTTTGGATATACGTATTCACTTTGCAAGAGTGGTGAAATACAGGAGGTATTAAAGAGAGAGAGGGCCGGGCGTGGTGGCTCATGCCTGTAATCCCAGAACTTTGGGAGGCCGAGGCACGCGGATCACGAGGTCAGATCTAGACCATCCTGGCCAACATGGTGAAACCCCGTCTGTACTAAAAATACAAAAGTTGAGACCATCCCGGCTAACACGGTGAAGCCCCATCTCTACTAAAAATGCAAAAAATTAGCCCAGCGTGGTGGCGGGCGCCTATAGTCCCAGCTGCTCAGGAGGCCGAGGCAGGAGAATGGCGTGAACCTGGCAGGCGGAGCTTGCAGTGAGCCGAAATCGCGCCGCTGCACTCCACCCTGGGCAACAGAGCGAAACTCCGTCTCAAAAAATAATAAAATAAAATAAAATAAAATAAAATAAAATAAAATAAAATAAAATAAAATAAAATAAAATAAATAAATAAATAAAAAGAAAAAGAAAATACAAAAGTTAGCTGGGCTTGGTGGCAGATGCCTGTATTCCCAGCTACTGGGGAGGCCGAGGCAGGAGAATCTCTTGAACCAGGGAGCCGGAGCTTGCAGTGATCGGAGATTGCGCCACTGCACTCCAGCCTGGCGACAGAGCGAGACTCCGTCTAAAAAAAGAGAGAGAGAGAGAGAGATTGAAGGCAGGCAGGCAGGAAGAAAGGAAAGAAGGAGGGGACGGAGGGAGGGAAAAGGAAAAAAAAAAAAGAGAGAGAGAGAGCAAGAAAGACTGGCGCAGTGGCTCACGCATGTAATCCCAGCACTTTGCGAGTCCAAGACGGGCGGATCACCTGAGGTCAGGAGTTGGAGACCACTCTGGCCAACATGGCAAAACTTCGTCTCTAGTACAACTACAAAAATTAGCTGGACGGAGCAAGGAGAATCGCTTGAACACAGGAGGCAGAGGTTGCAGTGAGCCGAGATGGTACCACTGCACTCCAGCCTGGGCGACAGAGCGAGACTCCATCTCAAAAAAAAAAAAAGAGAGAGAGAGCAAGAGAGAGGGGTGGGCAGGAGGGAAGGATGAAAGGAAAGAGAAGGAAAAAAAGAAAGCGCGAGAGAGGGAAGGGGAGGGAGGAAGGGAGGGAGGGAGGAGAGGAAGGTGAGAAAGGGAGGGAGGGGGAGGGGAAGAGGAGGGAGGGAGGAAGGAGAGGAAGGTGAGAAAGGGAGGGAGGGATGGAGGGGGGAGGGGAGGGAGGAAGGAATGGAGGAGAAGAGGAGAGGGAGGAAAGGGAGGGAGAGAGGGAGGAGAGGGTGGAAAGGGTGGGAGAGAGGGAAGAAAAGCAAAAAGAGAAAAAGGAAGAAAGAAAGATGGAGAGAGAGGGAGGGAAGGGATGGAAGAAAGGAAAGGAGAAAGAAAGAAAGGACAAAAGAGAAAAAAAAAGGGAAGGAAGGAAACTGTTTCTCTCTGCAAGAGTATGTCTTGAACACTTGGGGCAATGTCCCTCCCTTCTCCCCCACCCCCACCACTCTCATTCTTCTGATAAACACTCTACTTGATTTTTAAAAACGAGTATCTTTCATGCCACCTCTTTCAGGAAGCTTGTTTAGCTTCCCCTTCTGCAGCCTATATAAGGGGTGCTTCCTAAGTCTTCTCAGGTTCTCCAATGGACTACAAAATCCATAAGGGAAACGGCTGTATTTTTAAATTACATATCCTCATTACCAGAAACTGTGGCTGACATGGTAAATGTGTGCTCCATAATGGATTTATAAATTAAAAAAGTCGGAATTCTGACTTTCTCTCCTTGCAAACTTATTTTATTCTTCAGGGCCTAGTTTTATTTTCCTTCACAGGCAGTTTCACACTCGTGGCACTTTATATATCTATTTCTGCATTGTTCTGGTTCTAATTTATTTATGATGCAAAGTGATTATAAAGTGGCATCATTTTCTGGGGTTAATACCCAAGATTCGTTGTCTCAGAGCTGTGGAAAACTAAGATGCAGACACACAGAGTGAGGTTCAGAGCGGAGTTTAATAGGAGAAAGAAAGAAAAGCTCTCTGTGGCAGAGAGGGGTCTGGGAGAAGTGGGTTGCCAGTTCCACTGTGGAATGCAAGGAGTTTTATCGATGAGTTTGAGGAGGCAGTGTCTGATCTATATAGGGCATGAAAGATTGGTTGGGCCACGTGTGCCATTTGCATAGGGCAGGAAAAAGCGGTTAGGGCCAGGTGTGCCATTTGCATAGGGTGTGAAAATCTGGCCTCCCCGCCTTAGTCTTTTATTATGCAGATGGGTTCTCTACCTGGCCGCTGCCATGTTGCCTGTTTCTTTACTGTACACGTGGTGGCAAAGAAAAGGGAAGATGGAGCCTCCATGTTGAACATAGTTGGTTCCAAGGTAGCCCTTTTCCTTTGGCACAGCTACTGGCATTCACCGCTACAAGCTCCCAGCTTGCTTATCTATGTCTGCAGCTCAAATTTTGAGGCTGCTCTTTGTTAGAAAAGAAATTATTTAGGGGCTACTTTTTTTTAAAAGGGAAACTCTGCCGAGGACTCTTTTACCCTTACTATCTGCCTATCAATTATAATTTCTACTGAATTGGAGATCTTCATTGGTTTTTAATTTTCTTTCTTTTGCAGGTGTGTACCAGCAGCACATAGTAGGCATTCCATGTGTGCTTAAATAGAGTAAGGATGAGTAGCACAGATAACAATTGTGCATTATCAATAGCCGTTTTTCAGCTGATGAGTCTGTCCTTGTATACAATTTGCATAGAAATGGGGATTTACAGCTAATAAGCTCAGGAAAAAGTTATACTTGAGATAAAACTTTGCTTGGTGTGTGTTAAAATCTCCTGGAATGATGGGGGACTTATCTACACCTATTTGTAATCCTATCAGTTTTTTATTTTGTATCCTTTGAAATTATGTTATAAAGTGTATATAAAATTAGAATCATTAAACACTTCTGGTGAGAAATATCATTTACCCTCATATGATGTCTTAGTCCCTTTGGGTTGCTATAACAAAACATCATAAACTGGGTGGCTTATAAAAAAAACAGAAATTTATTTCTCACAGTTCTGGAATGTGGGAAGTCCAAGATAAGGCTAATTCAGTGCATGGTGAGGGTTTGCTTACTGATTCATGGAGAGCAGTTTTTTTTGCTGTGTTTCTGGATAGCAGAAGGGACAAACGAGCCCCCTTGTGCCTCTTTTTTGAGGCCACTCATTCCATTCAGGCAGGCCCCACCCTCGAGTGACATAATCACCTCTGAAAGGTCCCATATCCTAATACCATGATATTGGAGTCAGGGTTTCAACATATGAATTTTGAGGGAACATAAATATTCAAACCATATGAGTTAAGATCCAATTAGGACATAAGAAACTACCTGAAGGAGTTCAGATGGAATTTAACACCAAGAATTAGTTACACAGATGATGGGAGAGTTGAGAAGTCTACAGGCAATATTGAGGCAGCCTAGAAATTTGCAACAGAAGAAGATCATTACTAAGCTGAAACTGGAGAAAAAAAAGAGAGGAGGAGTTGGAGGTATCTGAGACCAGAGCAGACAGACCTGTCCGGAGAAAGCTGCAGTCACAGAGGGCAGGGTCACAGGGGAGACACAGCCCAAGGTACAGAGGCAAGGGTAGAAGAAATACACTGACCCTTCCCCTTTTCCCCATCTCAGGCTCCTGTTGGTGCTACTCTTTGATCAGACAGCACAGAGCCTGGGAAGTGTAAGCTACAAGGGCCAAAAGCCCTGTACCCAAAGGCACAGTCAGGGAGGGAGAGAACGAGATCAGAGAGAAAACAGGCCAGATTCAAGCATATTTTCTGATTTCTAGAATAAAATATAATGCATATTTTATATGTCATTAAAAGCTTTCTTTTGCTAAGTTGTGCCTGACATAACTTTTTCTATCATTATACTCTGAACTGTTCGTTTTTTGTTTTGTTTTTGTTTTTTTTTGAGACGGAGAGTCTCGCTCTGTGGCCCAGGCTGGAGTGCAGTGGCGCAATCTCGGCTCAGTGCAAGCTCCACCTCCCAGGTTCACGCCATTCTCCTGCCTCAGCCTCCTGAGTAGCTGGGGCTACAGGCGCCCACCACCACGCCCAGCTAATTTTTTGTATATTTATTAGAGACGGGGTTTCACCATGTTAGCCAGGATGGTCTCCATCTCCTGACCTCATGATCTGCCCACCTCGGCCTCCCAAAGTGCTGGGATTACAGGCGTGAGCCACCGCGCCTGGCTGAACTGTTTGTTTTATCCTTGCTTTAGATGTTTAAATAGCTCTTGGTAAGTAGTACATAGCTAGAGTTTTCTTTTTTATTTTTGTTCTGACAATTTTTTTTGTAAATAAAGCATTCTGATTTTTTGTAATATTTGGATTATCACTTTTATGTGCTTTTAATTTGAACTGCCTTTCTTTGCCTTTATCTCTATTCCTGCCTTCTTTTGCATTGAATTTTTAACATTCCAGAGTTTTCCTCAATTAGATAGGAGTTATATTGTCTACCCATTTAGTAGTTACCAAAGAAAATTTGCAGTGCTTAAAATCTGCAATAATTTCTCTTTTAATCCTTGCCTCCACCCCCAAAACACAATGACCTTAAGATATTTCAATTTTAATCACAACTTCTTCTGGTTTATATAGTACAATTATTAGATATTTTAATTTTATATTATTTTAACCCTATGTAGCCTCTTTTTTTTTGGTTTATTTAATCAATCTTTGTTTAGATATACCCACTTATTTTCCTATGCTTTTTTGATTTTCATTCCTTTATAAATTTCAGACATACTTTTGGAAGAACATTTTATACAGTATTGTTTATGTAAAATGTGTTGGTAGCAAGCTTAAAGCACTTATCTATATTTATTTCAATTAATATCTATATTTATTATTATTCCATTTATTAAATATTAATCATTTTTACACATATTTTACTATTTACATATCTACATTTATTTAAAAATTTTGGCACTTACTCACTTATATATGTTCTTTTCCTCACACATCCCCATTTCCCACAACTTCTTATAACTGAGCAGAATCTGAAGTAATTATTAATGTAATATTTTCAAAAATGTGACTTGCAAATCATCTTCTGTTCAAGTTACATACTCTCCATTTATCAATGGTTTGTGTTAGGCTTTGTTTCTCCCCCATAGGTAAATTTTTTCAAGGAATTTCAATAGCCTCCACAGTTTCAAATCACCAGGGAGAAAAAAGTGGTCTATGTCATTAGGGTAGAAATATCCATTTGTGCTTTAACTGGTATGAAATCCCAGAACAGAACATTTCACATAAACAGGATCTGCTGGAATTTTTACATTACAGCCCTCAAGGCAAAATTGTGAGTCCACTTCAGTGAGTAATTAAATACAGTTAAACTTCCCAGATAATCACAATTGTTGCTTTGGCTGCATATCGGAATAGGATAATGTGGAGACTGTGAATACTTTCATTTTATGTACTAGTTGTAAAGATAGTCTACTACTAGCTGAATTATCTTTTGCAAGTGTGTCTTTTGCCTATCCATAGGACACACATAAATAAGCCTAGAGAGACAAGGCTACAACATAATTTAATGTATTACATCTCCTCCAATCTGGTTATAATTTATTTGGACATAGTGTTTATCTAATAAAAAGGGTAAATGAATATGTATGCACCAGTTTTCCCAATGAAAATAAAAACACAACAAACCAAAACAGCAAAAGCAGTGCTAGGGAGAAAATTTATGGCTACAAATGCTTGTATATTAAAAAACAAGAAATATCTCAAATCAGCAACCTGATATTACAATGTAAGAAAGTAGAAAAAGAAAAGCAAACCAAAAACAAAGCTAGCAGAAGGAAGAAAATAAACATTAGAACAGCAATAAATGAAATAAAAAAACAGAAAAAAATTGAGAAAATCAATGAAACCAAAAGTTAGTTATTTGAAAAGATCAACAAAATTGACAAATGTTTAGCTAGATGGACTAAGAAAAAAGTTCTCCCTTTTTTTCTTAAATTTCTTAAATTACTAAAATCAGAAGTGGAAGTGAAGACACTACTACTAATTCTAGAAAATGAAATTTATTACAAGATAGTACTATGAACAAGTATTTACCAACAAATTAGATAACTTAGATAAAATGAACAAATTCCTAGAAACAGAAAACCTACCAAAAACTAAACACAAAGAAAAATAAAATCTGAATAGACCTATAACTAGTAAGAAGACTGAATCTGTAATAAAAAAAAATCTCCTGACAAAGAAAAGTTCTGGACCTGAAGACCTCAAAAATGAATTCTAATAAACATTCAGGAAGAACTAATACCAGTCCTTCTCAAATTTTTCCAAAAAAAGAAAAAAAAATCAAAAAGGAGAAAACACTTTATAACTCATTCTGTGAGGCCAGTATTACTGTGATACCAAAGCCAGATAAAGACACTACAAAAAAAAAAACTATAAATCAATATGAACATTGATGCAAAAATCCTCCATAGAATACTAGCAAACCAAATTAAGCAGCGTATTAAAAGGATTATATATAATGACTAGATGGCATTTATTCCTGATATAAAAGAATGGTTTGATATTTCCTCTAGATCATATGGGAAGAAAAATTAATAAAATATAAAAGAAATAATGTTTTGACATATGAAAATTGATCAATATATCACATTAACAGAATACAAGAAAAAAAAACACATGATGGTCTCAATTGATATAGAAAAAAGTGACAAAATCCAACACCCTTTCATGATGAAAAGAAAACACTCAACAAACTACTGATAGAAGAAAATCACCTCAACATGATAAAAGTTATATTTGAAAAAGTTACAACGAATATCATACTCTATGGTGAAAGATTGAAAGCTTTTCCTCTAAGATCAAGTGTATGGCAAGAATGCTCATTTTTGCCATTTCTATGTATCATAATACTAGAAGCTCTAGTCAGAGAAATTAGGCAATCAAAATAAATAAATGGAATCCTAATTGGAAAAGAAGTAAATTCATCTTTGTTTACAAATATATGACTTTATATCCAGAAAAACCTAAAGATCTCTCTTTTTCTCTCTCTCTCTCTCTCACACACACACATACAATTGAAACAATAATTCAGCAAAAAGCAGGGTACAAAGTGAATAAGTAAAATTTAGTTGCATTTCTATATACTAATAATGAACAACCTGAAAACAACATTACAAAAACAAATCCATTATAATAGCATCAAAAAGAATAAAATACTTAGGAATTAACCATAGAAATGAAATATTTGTTTAATAAAAGGTACAAAACATTACTGAAAGAAATTAAAACAGACATAAACAAATGGAACTACATCTCAGGTTTTTGGATTGGAAGACTTAGTACTATTAAAATCTCAGTACTACTCAATGCGATCTACAGCTTCAATGCAATAATGTTTTTGGCAGAAATAGAAAAGCCCATCCTAAAATTTATATGAAATCTCAAGGAACCTGGAGTAGATAAAACAATTTTGAAAAAGATAAAGTTAGAGAACTTATTCTTTCTAATTTCAAAACTTACTACAAAGCTATGGTAATCAAAACAGTGTGGTACTTGCATAAAAATAGATATAGAGGCAAACAGAACAGAGACCCCAGAAATAAACCTTTGCATATATGGCTAAATGATTTTTGTTGAGGATGCCAGGACCATTCAATAGGGAAATGACAGTCTTTACTACAAATTGTACTAGAAAAACTAGATATCCACACGCATTAGAATGAAGGTAGGCTCTTATCTAATGTCACATACCAAATTTAGCTCAAAATGAATCAAATATCAAAATAAATGTAAGACCCAAAACTATACGACAAACACTTACAAGAAAACATAGTGCAAAATCTTCATGTGACTGGTTTAGCAATGATTTCTTGGATATGACACCAAAGACACAGACAACAAAAGAAAAAATAGACAAATTGCACTTCATAAAAATGTAATAAATTTGCACATCAAAAGACAATATAAACACAGCAAAAAGGCAACTCACAGAATTGAAGACAATATTTACAAATCATATACCTGATAAATGTAAAATATCCATAATGTATAGAGAACACTTAAAACTAGAAAATAAAAAGACAAATGACCTGATTAAAAAATGGGCAAAAAACTTGAATAGACATTTCTTCAAAGAAGATATATAAATGACCAACGAGCACATGAATGTATGTTCAATATCACCAATCATTAAGGAAACACAAATCAAAACTACAATGAGTTACTACTTCTCATTCATTAAAATGATATAAAATACCCCAGAAAATAGTATATATTTGCAAGAATGTGGAGAAATGAAAACCCTTCTGCACTTTTAGTGGAAATTTGAAATGGTACCACTGCTGGGGAAAACTGTATGGCACTTTCTCCAAGAATTAAAAACAGAATCACCATATGATTTAGCAATTCCACTTGTGAGTATATATGCAAAGGAAATGAAAGCATAGTCTCAAAGAAATATTTGTACACTCATATTCACAGCAGCAGTATTCACAATGTGTGAAACATGAAAGCAACCCAAGTGTCCATTGACAGATAAATGGATAAGAAAAATGTAATATGTATCCATACAAGGGTATATTATTCAGTCTTAAAAGAGAGGGAAATTATTCAATATGCTAAGACATAGATAAATTTGAGGAAAATATGCTAAGTGAAATAAGTCAATCATAAAATGGCAAATACTGTGTGATTCTACCTATATAAGACAATTGGAGTAATCAAAATCATAGAAAGTAGAGTGGTGGTTGCCAGGGGTTGGGGCAAGGGGGTAAGGAGAGTTATTGTATAATGGGTATAGTAATCTTGGTTTTACAAGATGTAAGAGTTATAACGATAGTAGTGATGGTTGCACAGCATAATGAGTGTATTTAATAACATTGAACTGTATACTTGAAATGGTTAAGATAGTAAATTTTATGTGTATTTTGCTATGGTAAAAATGTATAAAAATTATGTGAGTTTAGCAGAGTAAGAATTATCAGAATTCTGGGTTTCTACAAAATGTATGTCTACTCTAATGTTTCTATCACCATATGTAAATTACTGTGGATTCCACACTAAACTCTCACCTCTCCGAAAGTTTTACTGCATTTGGCTCTTTTAATATAATTCCAATTCACTTAAATGTTATTTCCTCAGAATTTAATGTGATCTATTTGTCTTTCAGGCAAAATCTCATTCACTGTTTTTTTCTACATAATGAATGTTCAGACATATGGTAGCCTGTTAAGTGACAAGTATATTAAATTTCAGCTTTTTATCTGTCATTTACATATATATATATTTATTGGGATTTGCAACCAGATTTGTGAGTTTGTCATAAAATGAATGCAAACAAAATTTACATAATATTCCATGGGAAGAGATGCATGAAATATTTCTTTATATTTTTGTCGAAGTGAGCCATCAGCATATGAGAAGCAGTGCATAATTTATTTTCTTATTCATGTTTTTTATATTTTCCTATTCCACTTTATTTTTCTTCTTTAATAATCTTACTTCTGCATTTATCCCTTTTTTCAATATCCCTTGTCTAGGTAAGAATATCTTGTAATATTTGTAACGGGTAGCTAGTATGTATTGTTTGAGGTGACCAATGATCTAAGGACAATTTCACAGAGAATAAACGTCTTGGAATTCCCTTTACAATCAGTGAGAGATTACTTTAGGATCCGTATTATGAAAACTTCTCAGAGAATATTTGGCTATTACTTGATAATATTAATAAGTCTTCTGGAATACTTATATTGTATACTCTAAAAAGAAATCCATAGGCTTTAAAAAAGAAGTTTGCAAAAAAAAAAAATTCTAAAAATTAAAATAAAAAGAAGTCCAACATTCTAACATATTAAGGAATAAATATGTTAACTTTGACTAAATTATGATGCTGCAGAAACAAACATCCCCTACATCTCGACAGTTTACAACAACAAAGGCTCATTTCTCCTTCAAGTAATATATGTCCATCATGAGTCTGCTCTGTCCTCTGGTCCTTGACATCTTCACTTTAATATTTAGACAGAAAATGTGGCCCTCATCTGAGACATCACTGGTCATGTGACAAAAGGAAAACATCATCAAATGAAGCACCTGTCAGTTCTTGGAGCTTCCACCCAGAAGTGACCCATCCTTTCCTCTCAACTTTTGCTGAACAGAGCAAATCATAATCGTACTAAGTACTACAGATAATATTATTTTTCACGTATTTTTTTTACAATTGTTAAGTAATCTTCTTCTGTTTCTCTATAGTTAAAGTGATGGGAACCATTTAAATAAATCTTTATTACCAGTTTCAGCAAAAAAAATAATGTGAATTCAAACCAAAATGGTCTAAGCAGGGGAATTTTAAACCATTTCAATATCAATCATTAAATACTTCATGAATTAATAAATGCATAAATAAAAAAGTGACATTTCCTCAACAATCCTTTGTAAAAGCTGAAAAATTCTACTTATCTTCAGGTGTCTACTGTGCTCTCCACTCTCTCTCTCCCAGCTTCACCCCTCTTCCTATTTATGAGCACATTTTAAATAGACTTGGATTTGTAACAAATATAAGAATGCTAATGAATATGTAAAAATCAGTATTCCCAATGTTTCCAAGAGCGTAAATTATATATCTATTATAATGAAGCCAAGGCCTTTGAGATTTATAATCCTTTTCTAAATTATGTTAGTTTTCAGGTATTTAATATTTTGGTAGTTTCTCTAAGTTAAATAAAATCTTTGATTATATTATAAAGTTTACTATCCTCTCATGCTCAGTGAATGTTCTTTCTGAGTTTACATTCTGCTATCATTAATAACTAATGTTTTCTTCTTTAAATGACCATCAATGCAATTCTGTGGCAATCTTTATGTAGATGAATGTTGTACTATGAAATAAATGCATATCCCTAATGACCATTCATTGAACCTAGTATTTAGAAACAATTACAGCATTTTCTCCGTTTACTTCAATCTTTTTATCAAGTGTTAACTCCTGAGATGTTCGGACCGCACAAGCTCTCCCCATACTCCAGATCCTCCCGCTGTGATACCTTACCAAGGCTAGTTAGCATCCCCTCAGCTAAAAAGTTAGCCCATCCCTGCTATTTCTCATTTCATCTTGTTTTCTTCTTTCAAACTGATGTCATATAACACTTTTATGAAACAAAACAAACTCGCATATTAAATACTGACAGCTTAATAATCTATTATAAGGTATTTAATGTGAATTATGAGATAAAAAACTTGAAGCCGGTTTTGGACTTTAAGATGCCATGACCATAAACAAAAACCTGTGGGAATAAGAGCTAGCAATAATGCCAACAATTTGCTGCAGAACAATTCACTGTTGAATGGCTAAAGTAGAAATTAAGCAATGGTTAAAAGTCATTTATAGATATTAATCATAGTTAACCATTAATGAACAATTATCCACAGTGTGCTCTAAAATATACGAGTAATTTTGTCTGTTATGTTACATAGAATTTTTTTTTCAGAAACTAAAAATGATCAGAATGAAGTCACAATCTCACCATCTTAACCATCTAAATTTTACAAAAATGTTATGTTGTGAAATAAATCCATTTTCTTTAAGTAATGTTATTGTATTATATCAAGATGAGGAATTTCAAAATAACTAGTTGTTGAACTGTTAGACTACTGCGTTAAGGATACAGTGACCATACTCTTAATCTATTTGTATTTACATAATTCATAATGCACAGAGAGCCTGTGTAATTATTTAAGTTACTGTTATTGTTACTACTATTTGAGAAAAGAATTATAGCACACAAATTAATGAATTTCACAAAATCGTATGAAAGTTAGTTGGGTCACTTTTTGAAGAACAAAATATTGTAAACATGCATAATGCCTTAGAAACTTCATATGCAATTCAAAAGCTATTCCTATTTACTCTTGTGTCAGTAGATCCAGTGATTAACATTATTATAAAGAACAGTAATGTCAGTACATATCTTTTAAAATATTTTATAGCTTATTTTCCTTTAATTCATTATGGCTTCACCCTAATTATTTCAAAATGTGTGTCTGCATTTCAAAAGAGATGAACAGTGTATGTATAGAAGGCAATAATGTTTTAAACTAATGAGAACAAAATATGTAATTGAAAAAGCTCAAGTTCTTTAAATAGTTTGGGTAAGGACAAGCATAAATATATACTTGTTTTTATTGTGAAACCAGCCTAGCAGTTGAAATAAGCATATATTAGAATCATTTCTTTTCATAGGTTTAGAAGTAGATAAGTTGCCTAACCAGGGATGACTGCTTGCTATTACTACTTTTAATATATTAATAAATGCATTAATGCTAGATTTTCAACTGTGAAACTACTGTCTATTTGCTGTGACCTGAAGTTACTCCACTTTAAATCCATTAAATAAAATTATCTGGTATTGAGCTTAATTAATCATATCAACCCAGCAGCAGAAAATCAAGTATATAAACAGAATATCGATCTCCAAGCAGACTGTTGTCTTATAACTGTATGGAATTAGCCACAGGTATGTTTTGTAAGCAACTGTAGAATAATTATCAGCAATAAATCTAGAGCTTGTAGTTATTTGAATTCGTTACAGAAGAGTGTTTTACCAAAACGTTAGTGAGCTCTTAAAACTTGTTTAAAAAGAGCAAATCATAATATCCCCTATTCACGTGTGTGTGTGTGTGTGTCTGTGTATGTGTGTGTGAGAGAGAGAGAGAGACAGAGAGAATAAGTAGATAAGACATTGATACCAAGAAGAACTTTATTTTAGTGGCTGATTTTTTTTATTTCATTTCCATCTTGCTATACCCAAGCTGACATCAGTAACTGATAAAACATCAATGATTTGTGCTCGAGACATCTTGGTTATTTCATGTAATTTGTTTTCTAAGTCAAACATAAAGATCATGTTACTTTCTTGTTTCCTGATCCTTCATTTTCTACATAAACTGGTCCACTACTTAAATACTATTTCTCTTATTACATTTTATTTTTCTCATAATAATTATCTACCTGAAAACATCAAGGGTCTTAGTAAACCAATTTAATTGCTTAATTTATTTAATCTCTAAAATGTGCTCTGTTGCTTACCTTGTAGTTTCTATGGTTAAACTACAGTTGCCACAATTCATTCATATCTACTCTGCTAGTACTAACCACTTTAATAATACTTAAAACTTAAACATTGCAAAAGTGCTGTTTAGTAATATAATAGCTATTTTTAAAGCAATCCTGTTATTAGCACTGAATATGAATTGGCTATGATTTCTTGTGAAATTTTTTGACTGTTAAAGTTGACTAGCTTCATGTTCCCTGACCACATTCCAATATAATACAACTGTGAATTTTTAAATCATTTGCAATGACCTGATGTTGCTTCACCGTTGTAGCTCAACAATTCCCATGGCAGAATGTCTTTCTCTAATGATTTCTAATTAGGAGTTACAGGTAT
The DNA here is from genome assembly GCF_000001405.40 of Homo sapiens. NCBI lineage: Eukaryota > Metazoa > Chordata > Mammalia > Primates > Hominidae > Homo > Homo sapiens. The sequence continues at coordinate 84,851,125 of NC_000005.10, read as the reverse complement.
GAGCTAACAATGTCCCACATTCCACCTAGAATGGGTAATGCCAGTGGTTACTGTGTACAGTTTTGCTGATTTGCATATCTCCAGAAGGGCCTATTCACTGCATTGTGTATTGTATGCATGAGAATTTCCATTCATATTTTTTTAGTTTTTAATTTTTTAATTTTTATGTTTTCTTTTGTTTTTAGTTGGTATGCAATAATTATACACATTTATAGGATACAAAGTGATATTTTGATGTATGTATACAATGTGTAATGAACAAATCAAACTAGCATACCCATCAGCTGAAATATTTATCATTGTTGTATTGTGAATATTCAAAATTCTCTTTTCTAGTTTTTTGAAAATATATGATAAATTATAGTTAACCATATTTATCCTGCAGAGTTGCAAAACACCAGAACTCATTTTCACTCTCTAGCTGTAATTTCGTATATGTTAAACAATCACTCTATATCCTCCGCTCCCCCTTCCCTTCCCAGCCTCTAAGATTCACAATTCCACTCTCTATTTTCATGAGCTCAATTTTTTTTTTTTAGTTTCACATATGAATGAGAATATGTGCTGTTTATTTTACTGTGTCTGACTTATTTCACTTAACATGATGCCCTCCAGGAGTCTCATTCATATTGTTGCAAATGACAGGATTTCTTTTTTTTGTTATTTGTTTGTTTGTTTTTTTGGCTGAGTGGTATTTCATTGTGTGTCTCTGTCTATATGTATATGTATATAGAGAGACAATATTATCACATTTTCTATATCTGTTTGTATTAGGATTCTTTAGAGAGACAGAATTAATAAGATAGATGTATATATAAAGAGGAGTTGATTAAGGATTATTAATTCACATGATCACAAAATGAGGCCTCACAATAGGCCATCTGCAAGCTAAAGTGCAAGGAAGCCAGTCCGAGTCCCAAACCTGAAGAACCTGGAGTCCCATGTTCAAGGGAAGGAAGCATCCAGCATGGGAGAAAGATGTTAGGCTCAGAAGCTAAGCCAGTCTAATCTCTCCACTCCACGTTCTTCTGCTTGCTTTTATTTTGGTGATGCTGGCAGCTGATTAAATTGTGCCCACACAGATTAAAAGGTGGGTCTCCCTTTCCCAGTCCACTGACTCAAATGTTAATCGCCTTTGGCAACACCTTCACAGACCTCACAGACACACCTAGGAACAATACTTTGCATCCTTCAATCCAATCAAGTTGACATTCAGTATTAACCATCACAAGTCCATTCCTTGCCAACTTGAACCCATATACATCTTCTGAAATCATACATAATCTTCAAATAAAGACAATAATAAAATCATAATTGTGCCTAACATAATACAACTATCCTTCATACAACTGGAAATGTACCAGCCCCCAATCCAAATGCTGTTATATAAAATTAACAACACTTAAATGCTGATAAGAAGCCAATAAGTCTTATGTCACAAAGCTAAAAGAAAATAAAATGAAGATATTTTCTTGGTACAAGTGTATAAAGGCACAAACATGTTCTTAACAAAATAAAGAGGAAATACTCATGACAATTACAGTCCTCCTCTCTGCAACTGGTCACGCGGGCGTGGCTGGTACTGATGAATACTTCTTCTACTATCCATTCTGTATTCCCTTTGCCTTCAACAAGCACCTCAGTAGGTCAGGATTTTTTACCTGGTGGAATGACCCAAACCTTCATTCATGAAGTGTCTGGGCCATTTGTAGTCCTGTCTGGATTGGGCTGTTGTAGTTTCCCATTGACCTTAATCACAGGGCATGCTAACACTAAGAGACTCCCTAATGGATCTCCTGTATTCCATGCATAACCTTCCTTACCTCCGTTATGGAGCAGTAGACTGATTTCATCTTGATAGTCCGGGTCAGTCACCACAGCCGACACTGTAACTCCCTTATTAGCTTGTTGACTTAATGGTAGGAGGAGCCCAAAGTGTCCAGGTGGCAATCTTAACTTCCACATTAATGAAATCGTTGTTGTGTCTCCTGGTGGTAGTGTTCCTCCCTCTGGAACTAAGACCTCCAGGCCAGCAGAATGTAATGCCTTGGGAACACGAAGCAAAAATTTTGCTAGGGGATTACTAGGGATGATGGTGAGTGCTGCCACTTCCACTTCCACCCCTTGATTCCCGGACCCATGAATCCTGGTTATGGAAGAAACAGTAACATATGTTGGATGATAATTCAGAGCAAACAGAGCACTCTGGAGAACTTTGCCTCAGCCCTGAAAAGTATTGTCACCTAGTTGGCATTATAATTGACTTCAAAAGACCATTCTACTCTTCTATCAATCCAGCTGCTTCGGGATGATGGGGAACCTGGTAAGATCAGTGAATTCCATGAGCTTGAACCCACTGCTAAGACTGCTTTAGCTATTAAGTGAGTGCCTTGGTCAGAGGCAATGTTGTGTGGAACACCATGATGGTGGATAAGGCATCCCGTGAGTCCACGGATGGTAGTCTTGGCAGAAGTATTGCATGCAGGATAGGCAAACCCATATCCAGAGTGTCTATTCTAGTGAGGACAAACCACTGCCCTTTCCATGATGGAAGAGGTCCAATATAATCAACCTGCCATGAAGTAGCTAGCTGATCACCCCAAGGAATGGTGCCATATCGAGGGGTTAGTGTTGGTCTCTCCTGCTGGCAAATTGGGCACTCAGCAGTGGATGTAGCCAGGTCAGCATTCGTGACTGAAAGTCCATGTTGCTGAGCCCATGTGTAACCTCCTTTCCCTACCATCATGGCCACATTTTTCATGGGCCCATTGGACAACGACAGGGATGGCTGGGGAAAGAGGCTGAGTGGTATCCAAAGAATGAGTCATCCCATCCACTTGATTTTTAAAATCCTCCTCTGCTGAGGTCACCCTTTGGTGAGCACTCACATGAGATACAAATATCTTCACAGTTTTTGACCACTTGGAGAGGTCCATCCACATATCTCTTCCCCAAATTTCTTTGTCACCAATTATCCAATCATGTTTTTTCCAAGTCCCTGGCCATCTGGCCAAGCCATTGGCTACAGCCCATGAATCAGTATATAATTGCATATCTGGCCATTTCTCCTTCCAAGTAAAGTGCACAATGAGGTCCACTGCTCGATTTTCTGCCCACTGGGAAGATTTCCCTTCACCACTGTTGTTCAGGGATGTCCTAGAAACGGGCAGTAGTGCCACAGCTGTCCACTTTTAAGTAGTGCCAGCATATCATGCAGTGCTATCTGTAAACCAGGTCCTTGTTTTCTCTTCCACTGTCAACTAATCATAGGGAACTCCCCATGAGGCCATTGGTGCAGGCTGAGGGAGAGAAGGCATGGTGGCAGGAGTGGGGACCATGAACATTTGAGCCACTTCCTCATGTAACTTACTTGTGCCCTCAGGACTTGCTCGAGTCTAATTATGTATATACCACCTCCATTTGATGATGAGATGCTGCTATGCATGCCCCATCTTATGGCTAGATGGGTCAGAAAGCACCCAATTAATGATAGGCAGTTCAGGTCACATGGTGACTTGATGACCCATAGTCAAATGTTCAGTTTCCACCAAAGCTTAGTAACAGGTCAAGAGCTATTTATCCAAAGGAGAGTAGTTATCTGCAGAAGACAGCAGGGCCTTGCTCCAAAATCCTAGAGGCCTCTGCCGTGATTCACCTATGGGGGCCTTTCAAAGGCTCCAAACAGCATCCATATCTGCCACTGACACCTCAAGCACCATTGGATCTGCTTGGTCATATGGCCCAGTGGCAGAGCAGGTTGCACAGCAGCCTGGACCTGTTGCAGAGCCTTCTCCTGCTTTAGATCCCACTCAAAACTGGCAGCCTTTCAGGCCACTCAATAAATGGGCCAGAGTAACACACCCAGATGAGGGATGTGTTGCCTCCAAAATCCAAGTAGGCCCCCAGACATTGTGCCTTTTTCTTTGTTGTAGGAGGTGTCAAATGCAAAAACGTATCCTTCACCTTAGAAGGAATATCTTGACACCACTGAGCCCCTAGAAATATTACTGAGGTAGAAGCTCCCTGAATTGTAGTCGGATTTATTTCCCATTCTGGGGCACACAAATGTCTCACTGGTAAGTCCAGTGTATTTGCTACTTCTCTTTCACTGGATCCAATCAGCATAATGTCATCAATGTAATGGACTAGTGTGATATCTTGTGAAAGGGAAAAGTGATCAAGTTCTCTCCAAACAACATTATGACACAAAGCTGGAGAGTTGATATACTCCTGAGATAGGACAGTAAAGGTATTTTACTGGCCTTGAAATCGCTTTTCGTTGGCATTTTCCAAGTCAATGGCTTTCCCACCATAGTAGCCCTCACCCTACCAGTCAGGGAGCCAATATGTGGGTTCTGCCAGCTGCTAAGTATGTCTATGCCAATTATGCATTCTGGCACTGGGAAAATGACCACAAGTGAGTCTAGGGACCCACTAGACCCGCTGTAAGTGTGACCAGAGCTAAAATTCCCTTAATTACTAACCTCCATAAGTCCCTACTTTACCTGGAGGACCACAATGATGTTTTGGGTCCCCTGGAATCAATGTCAGCTCAGAGCCAGTGTCCAGTAGCCCTTGCAATGTCTGATCATTTCACTTTCCCCAATGCAGGGTTACCCTGATAAAAGACCAGAGATCTCCTTGGGGAAGGACGGGAGAAAGATTAACAGCATAAATTGTTGGTAGTGTAGTGGGGTCCTTCCTCAAGGGGACCCGGTCTCCCCTTCATTCAAGAGCTTCTGGGTCTGTAAACTGGTTCAAGTCTGGAAATTGATTGAGGGGCCATGATTCTCTGTTTTTGTAAATCAAATTAGTCTTTGGTCCACTAGACCTGAAGTTTTCTGCTTATATAAATTAAGTAACAATGCAGTAGGCTTCTGAGATCAGAGGAGATTGGGTGCATTCAGGGTGGTAAGTTGACATTTAATATTAACCATCACACACCATTCTTCTGTTGATGGGCATTTATGTTGATTCCATATATTGGCTATTGTGAAAAGAGCTGCAATATGCATGAGGATGCAAGTATTTCCTTTCCTTTGGATAATACCCAGTAGTGGGATTGCTGGATCAAATGGTAGTTCTATTTTTAGGCTTTTGGGATGGTTTTTTTTTTTTTCATAAACTTCTACAATGTTTTTCATAATGGCTGTACTAATGTACAGTCCCACCAGCAGTGTATAAGAGTTCACTTTTCTCAACATCCTCACCAGCATTTGTTATTATTTGTCTTTTAAATAATAGCCACTCTAACTGGTATGGGAAGATATTTCATTGTGATTTTGACTTGCATTTTCCTGATAATTAGTGATGTTGAGTATTTGTTCATGTATCTGTTGGCCATTTGTAACTCTTCTTTTGAGAAATGTTTATTCGTCTCCTCTGCCTGCTTTTTAATCAGATTAATTTTTTTAATCAGATTAAATTTTTTAAAATTTACCTTTTTGCCTATGCTTTTAAATTCTTAGTCACAAAATCTTTGCCGAGACCAATGTCCTAAAGTATTTCCTGTAGGTTTCATTCTGGTCCTTTTGCAGTTCTAGGTCTTATTTTATCCACTTTGAGTTCACTTTTGTATGTGGTGATAGATAGGGATCTAGTTTCATTCTTCTCCCCATAAATATCATTTATGCCCTTACCATTTACTGAAGAAGGTGTCCTTTTTCCAATGTATATTCCTGGCACTTTCGTAGAAAATCGGTTGGCTGTAAATATGAGAACTTATTTCTGGGTTCTCTATTCTGTTCTATTGGTCTATTTGTCTGTTTTAATACACATATCATGCTGTTTTGGTTACTATAGACTTGTAATATATTTTGAAGTCAGATATGGGATGCCTCAAACTTTGTTCTTTTTGTTCCGAATTGTTTTGGCTACTCTGCCTCCTTTTTTGTTTCCATACAAATTTTGGGATTATGTATTCTATTATTGTGAAGGATGTTATTGGTATTTTGAGAGGGATTGCATTAAATCTATAGGTTGCTTTGGGCAGTATGGTGATTTTAACAATATTAATTCTTCTGATCAATGAGTATGGGTTGTCTTCCTGTTTGTTTGTGTCATTTTTAATTTCTTGAATCGGTATTTCATAGTTTTCTGAGTACAGCTCAGATGTAGAGTCCCAGCTGAAGTTAACAAGGCAACACTATGATTTCTTGCTGCAGCTCTCATAGTATAAATAATTGTCTTTTTTAGTATATTTAGTGCCATAATTTTTACATTTTTATGTTTTTGTAGGTAGTTTTGTTATTTAAATGGCCCCAAAGTGTAGTGTGCTGTCTGGTGTTACTAAGTACAAGGAGGCTATGATGTGCCTTATGGAGAAATAGGCAACAAATAAGCTTCTAGAAGAGATGTTAGACAAGCTTAATTCAGGCATGAGTTATAGTGCTACTGGCTATGAGTTCAGTGCTAATGAATCAACACTATAGTACATTCAGAAAAAGGAAGAAGATATTTGCCAATCTGCATATAAGATTGCTCTGGAAAGTATGAAATTAATGTCTATAGTGTGGATGAAGCTATGAAAAGCATTGAAAAGTGGCTACATTTGTGGATCATGAGAGACAGCTAACTTTAAAAAGTGTACCAGAGTGCATTGCTGAGGCTGAGAGGCAAAGGAATTTATAGTCACATTACCCAAGTTCAGCAAAATGTTAAACCCTTCTGAGCTAGAACTTTGCTATAAAAATACTGCATCTAATTAATTATTTCTAAGAAACACAATATTTTTTGATCTACTGTGACAATCTGTCTTCTAATTGGTTTATTTAGACCATTAACAGTCAAAGAAATTCTTGATATGGTTAGATTTATATCTACTATAATTGTTACTGCTTTATCTTAGTTGCCCGTGTTCTTTTTCTATTGTCTCCCTCTTTTATTTTTTGCCTTTTATGGTAAAATTGAACATTTTAGGTTATTTCATTTTCTCTCCTGTCTTGGCATGTTAGTTATATTTCATATTTTTTGCTTTTTTAGTGGGTACATTAGAGTTTGCAATATACATTTAAGACTTATTCAAGTTCTCTTTGAAATAACACTATACCTCTTCACAGGTAGTACGAATACCATATAATCACAAAATAATCCTATTCCATCCTCTCATTCCTTGTATCGTTACTGTTATTCATTTACTTATATATATATGCTATATATATTTTATATATATAAGATATATTTTTATATAAATATAAAGTGTATATGTAAGCATACATAATTTAGTACATTGTTGCTATTATAATTTTGAACAAACTTATTTGTTAGATGACGAAGAAAATGACAAATACAGGTTTTTGTTTTATTTTTACTTTTTCCTTCTTCAATGGTTTTCTTTTCTTTTTATTTTATTTATTTATTTGTTTGTTTGTTTGTTTATTTTGAGATGGAGTCTTGCTCTGTCATCCAGACTGGAGTGCAGTGGCCCGATCACGGCTCACTGCAACCTCCACCTCCTGGGCTCAAGCGATTCTCCTGCCTCAGTCTCCCAGGTAGCTGGGACTACAGGTGGGCACCACCATGCCTGGCTAATTTTTGTATTTTCAATAGATACAGGGTTTCACCATGTTAGCCAGGTTGGTTTTGAACTCCTGGCCTCAAGTGATCCACCCACCTTGGCCTCCCAAAATGCTGGGATTACAGGTGTGAGCCACTGTGCCCAGCTGTCTTTTCTTTATGCATATTTGAGTTTCTGATCTTTATCATTTTCCTTTTCTCTAAAGACCCTTTTTAAACATCTCTTGTATGGCAGGTCTAATGGCAACAAATTCTTTAAATTTTTACTTGTCTCAGATTATTTCTTCTTCATTTTTGAAAAATAATTTCACAGGGTACAGAATTATAGGTTGGTGGGTCTCTTAATACTTTAAATATTTTATTCCACTTTCTTTTCACTTGCTTGGTTTTTGAAAACACTCAAATGTAATTCTTATTTTTGTTCCTCTATTCTGTAAGTAAGGTGTTTTATTCCTCCAGCTTCTCTCAGAAATTTTTCTTTTATTTGCTTTCCTGAAGTTTGAAAATAATATGCCTAGCTGTAGAGATTTTGGCATTTATCTTGCTCGGTATTCTGTGAGCTTCCCGAATCTATGATTTGGCATCTGACATTAACCTGGGGGACAATTCCAATCTTTATTGGGTCAAATATATGTTCTGTTCCTTTCTGTCTTTCTTGTCATTCTGGTAGTCTCATTATATGTATGGTATACATTTTATAGGTTTCCCACAGGTCTTGAGTATTCTTTTCTATTTTTGTTTTTGTTCTCTTTGCTTTTTAATTTTCAAAGTTTCTATTGATATATCCTCAAGCTCAGTGATTCCTTCCTCAGTTGTATCGAGTCTATCAATAAGCCCATGAAAGGCATTCTTCATTTCTGTTACAGTATTTTTGATCTTTAGCATTTCTTCTTGGTTCTTTCTTACAATTTTCATCTCTCCACTTACATTGTCCATCTGGCCTTGTATGACGTCTACTTTATCCATTGGTGTCCCAGCATCTTAATCACAGTTGTTTTAAATACTCGGTGTGATTATTCCAATAGATCTGGCAGACTTTTAATTTCAAATTATAAAATTAGTAATCCTGAAAGAAAGAGAAGAAGGAGCTGTTTAAATGTTGATGGCATATTTTGATAACTGAGTGGCAGTGCCTACATTTTCTTCTTCTATAAAGTTTATCTATAGCTAAAGAAAAGTTGAAAGATTTCTTAGGGCTTCTCTATCTTTTTTGATCCTTTTAAAGAAAATTTTGATCATTGTTGACATTGTGGTAATTATAATTGTTTATTTTCTTACTTGCAGGAAGTCTTCATTGTTCATCTTTCTCACTATTTAAGCTCTTGTAAAAACAAATATCTATGTCTCAGATTTCACAGGCCTATAACATATTTTTTAATGACTTGACGCTAGGAAAATTGAATGACTAATCACTAAAAAAGCCATAATGGGTGAATTTTAAAATAAAATATTATTTAATAGTACTAATTAACCGTTTTGTCATTTATATTGACCCTAACAGGTGTCAGTAAGAACATTAAAGCAAAATTGTATGCATTACATTGAGCTCTACCTGCTTTATATTTTGGTTTTCATTTTTTCAAGTCTTTTCCATTTTTATGCTTCATCTGCCTTTTTAAAAACTTAGACATGGAACACATCTGGAAATCTACTTTGCAGACAGAGCAACTGGATTTTAATTTGCAGAAAACTGGAGGAGAGATGGAGAAGACAATCGTAGGGCTCTGAGCTAAGTCCTGGATCTCCTATAATGGTATCAAGAGTAATTTTCCTAATATGCTGGAATGGAAGAAGAGTTTTTTTTCAGATATTGTGTTTTAGTGAAAATAAACTAGTTAGAAACAAATCCTGTAAATAAGGAAAGAAATACATCATATAAAAGAAGTTACAAAAAATTACATAGCCACAATCAAACCATCATTGGTGCATTATCCATTCTGTCAACCACATTTTCATATTATTAAAAAAACCCTCAAATGTCATACAGTTATCAATGCACATAATAAAGAGAAGAAAAATACAGAGGTGAGTATTTTTATTATATTGATGAGAAAATTTTGCTCTAAATATCTTATTTTTCATCTACTGAGTTTTGCATATTTAAATGTTTAACTTTGGATTTGCATAAAATCATTCCATTTCAGTTAACAGAGTAAAATAAACAAAACAGTTAGCAAGCAAACCAATCTCTAAAATAAGATAATAATTACCCTTCTAAACATCATTAAATTCTTAAATTAAGAGCTTTCATAGTCAGTAATCTGAAGTGTTGAAAATTAATTGCTTAAATGCTAAAAAGCCTCACATATTTTAGGACATGTTTAAATAGTATATATTTACATAAAATTGCCTTGCTTAATTTTAGAAAAAAATAGAATTACTTAAAATGATGTATTTTTATTAGATATTCTCAATATTTTACTGATTCCTTTTATTATTTTCTCCTATTTAATGTTTTATATAAGTCATATATTAAATAATTTATTTAATAATTATCTAAGATTATCCCAACCTAGGACGATGCTTCCATTCAAAACTTTAGTAATTTCTTAATGCTTAAAGTTTATAAAGTAATTAATTCTATTTTAAGGTTGCATCTAAGCAAATGAGTAAACTATACCACCAAATAAATGACATACTACTAGCAAATAACAATTTCTTCAAGCGCAAATTAATGAAAAAAATCCAAACATTTGCATGCAATGTTTTGAAAATAGTGTAAAGTGAGATAATGCAATGGTTGCAAATATTCTTTATCTTTTTTTTTTTTGTAACTCCCCTTCTATGTCAAGTCTTTCTTAAAACAGGTTGGCTAAAAATCCAGAAGCAACATTAATCACATGCATTATAATGTTATATTGCTGCTCTTTATAACGATTTGTTCAGCCGGAAATTTTCAAATGTGCTTTTTAGATTTTTTATTGACTGACTGCAAATATAGTTAATTTTGAAATGCATTTAATTTTATTTTATTTAGAAATTATTGTTAAAATAAGAGTTTTTTAATATCATAAACAAAACAAATAGAAAATATTTTTTGTAACATTTACCTTGGAAGTTCAGATCTTCAGCAGCAGATTTAGGACCAGTGTATATAGTGTTTAGCAAAATAGACGAGATACATACTGTCACAGAGCATGTGATCTAGTGCTTGAGATTATATTGAACAAGATATAATCACAAAAGTAGCATGACAAACTGTATTAGTCCATGCTCACACTGCTATAAAGATATACCCGAGACTAGATAATTATAAACAACAGAAGTTTAACTTGACTCAGAGTTCCACATGGCTGAAGACGCCTCAGGAAACTAACAATTATGGTAAAATGGGAAGAAGCCACCTACTTTATAAGGCGGCAGAAGAGAGAAGGGAAAGGGAAGGGGGAATAAAAGGAACAAGGTGTTCTGAAACAGCCACAAAAAAATAGACAAAATACATGGGACATCAGGCAACAAAGAATAGTGATTTCTTAGAAATTGGGAAAAAATAATTTGATTCCTATAATATTGTAATGTGTATCCAGGCCACAATGTAAGGAAGAGAAACTCAGGTGAAGCTCAGAAATCCTCATTAATTTATTCAACAAATCTTTTAAATGCTCTTTATGTTTAGATAATAATATTAGTAGTGAATAAGTTTATATTCTTGCCTTCATAAAGACTGAGTTAGGAGAGACGGTCAATTGCAATCCATTGACATTTCTAAGGATAGTTCTTGGTAATGCCATAATAATACTATCTGTCTGCCATACTTCAGATTTAGTGTAGTTGAAATTTTTGTCACTTTGCTTTATATTATAATCGTTTATTTTATTCATCTGCCACCTATATTCTTTGGACATTCTATTATATCGTTTATCTTGAATACTAATTTTCTCACTTATCTTGGCACATTGTAAGTATTCAGTGATTTATTAAGCATTGTTACATATGCTACATATTCGTGACTTTTAAGAAAATATTTGATGCAACCCAATGGGTTTGGGTTAAGTCCCTTTATTTCATCTGATATATACAAAACTTTGGAAAGTATTTAAATATAATTTATTAATATTATTTTTTAATAATTTATTATAACATAGTTTTACATGGTTGTCACTTGCATAAATGAGTCTAATAATAAAATCTTAACAAGACTGTCATGAGGATTAAATAAAATATTACATATAAATGCTTAGTTTGGAAGCAGAGGACTTTGCACAGGTTTGTATTACTGTTATCGCTATCATTATTCAGAAGCAAAGCAAGTGAAGCTGCAATGGAAACCTTTTAAAACTAATATCTGATGGCAAATAAATGTTTTTTGTCGTGTTCAATGTGGAATCCATATTTGAGTTCGGTAACAAAAATTACAAAGAAAAGTAAAGGCTGGAACTGCCTACTTCTTAACATTTTATGTGTTCAAAGTTCTGGAAAGTAGCAACATTTTTGAAGGAAAAAAGATTTTATGCATTAAAAAATTATGTAAATTGCTGTGATAATAGTCTCATCTGTAACTATTTCATTAATGTTATCAGGTTGAAATGTTTTCATTTTCATTCTGTTGCAGCCACTTATTTAATAAAGTCCTTTCTTGGTTAATGTATTCATGCCAATTTGGCTAAGAATCTCTGTATTTACTTTAGCTACTACTTAATACATTGATAGATTTATTTGAAGCAAACAATAACAGTTAAGGTATTTGTCTTTAGGAGTGCAGTTTTAACCCAAATTATCTACAAAATAGTATATTTATGTTTTTAGGAAATATTTCTCTTGTTTTTGTGTCTCTCATACTTCCAGGAATACCCCATATAAACACAAAGCTATTGTCTAAAAATTATGTGCAATCTTGAACCCCACTAATACTTATGCTGTGTGTGTATGTGTGTGTGTGTGTATCTACCTATTTATCTTAGTTCATTTTCTGTTACTATAAAGGAATATCTGAGGCTGGGTAATTTATAAAGAGAAAGGTTGATTTGGCTTATGATTCTGATGTCTGCAAAAGCTCAAGATTGGAAAACTGCAATTGGTGCGGGCCTCAGGCTTCTTCCACTCATGATGGAAGACGAAGAGGAGCTGGCTGTGAAGAGATCACATGGGGAGAGAGGATGTAAGAGGCAGATGAGGGAGAAGGTGTCAGCCTCTTTTTAATGACTAGCTCCCCTAGGAACTAATAAAGTGATAACTCACTTACCCCAGAGGAAGGTCATTAATGTATTCATGAGAGATCTGCCCCCATGACCCATACACCTCCCATTAGACCCCAGCCTCCAACTTTGGGGATCAAATTTCAACATGACATTTGGAGGACTCAAATATTGAAACCATAGGTCTATCTATCTATCTATCTATCATCTATCATCATTATCATAGCTGTAACTTAACTCATTCTTCCTCATTATAAAAATAAAATTTTTAACAAAACTTCTTAGGTTTTAAAATTCCCTTACCAGTTATATAGAACAAAATGTCATAGAACAGAATTTAACTAACTGTAATTTTAAAATGTTTAAATAATATATGGAGCATAGCTATATGATGTGAATGCCAAATATTGCAACTGAAATGTCTTCATGTAGTCATTAAAGCATAAGAAATATACATTTATAACTTTTTAAATATTTATTTTGAATGTAATACATGTCCTCTAGATTCTGCTGTCATTTTATGAAGCATTGAATTGGAAGGATAAGATAAGTTTTTATGGAGCATTTACTGAACATTCTTGCATAAAGAAAGTGATGTTTGGCCAATTTTCAAAGTGAGATTTAAATCTTGTTTTAATTATGTTAATTGTGCTCAGGTATAATACACAACTTGCTATTGTAAAAGATAAATTGTGTTTAGTTATTGGTATTGTTTTCTTTCTCAGGAGTTTTGAACATGTCTTTAAGATTGCAATAGTAATCAAAGTAGGAACACTCTTTGCCCACTATAGAAAATAAACAAAATCAATTGTGCTGCAATTCTAAGTACTTTCCATTAAAGAAATTGACACTTACATCAAATGGAGGTCATATCATATGCAGCTACACTCAGCAATCTCTTTTTCTTAAGCAACACTGTGCTATTTAGTACTGTGAAGGATAGGATGGCAAGGTAAGGTATTTGATAGCAAAAGCAGTAAATTAACTATTAGTGTAGTTTTGTTGAATATTTTGTATTTAAATTTACAAACATCTAGTGACATGTATTCCACTAGGGGTACTGCCACAGTGATAGTAATGTATGGTTTCACTCAATGTTTCAAAGCAAGTTAATAAACATAGCTTTCCGTTATTTCTTTAATAGATGAAATTATAGTCTACTGTGTATGTTTCTATTCCCTAAAAACATTGTTTGAAATTCTACCTTTTTATTCAAAGCAAGTATTGAAACTACTTGAATTATAGCAAACATGAAGTACTTAAGCAATATTTAACTCATTCTAAACAGTTAGTTATAAATTGCTTTCATTATAAAAATGGTCATTTGCTAAATGAATTTAATCCAAGTAAAAAACTACAAGATCCATGAAGTCTGATTCACTCACAGTTTTTTCATACTTCAGCAAAGGTTTTAAGTTACTTGTTAATTATTATGCTTAGAAACTAAGGTCATTCTGTGGTTATTTTTAATAGATTTACTTTATCATAAGAAGTGTATTTATAAAATTGGATTTTAATGAAACTTATTCTGATCAATTTTGGACACAGACTTATGTATCACACAGCACATAATGAATGTTCAGTAAAAAATCATAAATAAAATCCTCAGCATATCTGTTTGGTTGGTAATCTCTTCATGTACATATATTTATAAAAACACTGCCTTGTTACCATGAACCATTCTACTTTTTGTCATAACAATGATTATATTCTGAGATACTATACAATTGATGAACTAGTCATTTTTGTTGTTTATTGTCCATTCCACCTCCACTAGAATGTGAAGTTCATGAAGGCAGAGATCACCATCATTCACTGACATATCCCACATATCAAAAATGAAGCATGGCATATAATAGATACTTAATAAATATTGAATAAAATAAAGCTTGAATGAAATTTTTTTTTTTTTATTATACTTTAAGTTCTAGGGTACATGTGCACAACATCCAGGTTTGTTACATATGTATACATGTGCCATGTTGGTGTGCTGCACCCGTTAACTCATCATTTACATTAGGTATATCTCCTAATGTTATCCCTCCCCCCTCCCCCCACCTCATGACAGGCCCTGGTGTGTGATGTTCCCCACCCTGTGTCCAAGTGTCCTCATTGTTCAACTCCCACCTCTGAGTGAGAGCATGCGGTGTTTGGTTTTCTGTCCTTGCAATAGTTTGCTCAGAATGATGGTTTCCAGCTTCATCCACATCCCTACAAAGGACATGAACTCATCCTTTTCTGTGGCTGCATAGTATTCCATGGTGTATATGTGCCACATTTTCTTAATCCAGTCTATCACTGATGGACATTTGGGTTGGTTCCAAGTCTTTGCTATTGTGAATAGTGCCGCAATAAACATACGTGTGCATGTGTCTTTATAGCAGCATTGTAGGCAATCATCTTTCCTAATTTTTCATTCACGAATGTTAGTCCCAAAATGTAGCCATCTCTTACCTACTACTAATTTTTCTCCTGTTTTCTGTCTGTATGAGTTTGTATTTTTAAATTGTTGTTGCTGTTATGATTATTGTTATTATTATTTATATTATTGTTATTGTTATATTATTTCATTATTTCACTTATATGTCATTATATTTATAATTATATTAATTATAAGATTATACAAATTATAATAATTATATTTCATTATTATAAGTGGCTTTATTCTGAAAAGATTTTCAAACTTTCTTGAAATAGATGATTTTTAAATGCTATATCTTAGCATTTGATATAAGTAGAAGAAAAAACTGAACAGATCAAAATCATTGAAGAAAAAATTAAAATTTATTATCTTCTATTGAAAATAGTACAGAAGAATGTGGTAACTTTGACATATTTATTTCATATTGCCCCCAAACCTTCACGTAACTGATAGAAAATAAATAACAATAATTATTATTATTGAACCCAGGAGGTGGAGTTTGCAGTGAGCAGGGATTGTACCACTGCACTCCAGCCTGGGCAATAGAGCAAGAAGTTGTCTCAAAATTAAATTTTTTATAAATTAAATAAATAAATAAATAAAGTAGTGCCATGGGGAGGTGATTCAAATAGAAAAAAATGTTTAAAGAAGCTAGAATCCTCTACACACATTCTTAATCTAATATTGCCAGGCTACTACCTCTCTGAAATCAGACAGCTGGAGGTTGTTATCCTGGAAAACATCTTATGTCCTATACGAAGAGTTTTCTAAGACAGCAAGCACAGCTGAGTAACATACAGAAATCAGGGAAGTTAAGGGGAGAAATTCCACATACTAATTGGAGAGACTTTACTAGTCACCTGGGGAACAGCGACAATGGTATATACCTCAGAAAGAGATTGGAAGATTGCACTGTAATAGACTGAACCATTCAAGAGAAAACGTTCGTAGATACTGACATCATTTGCATGCCATCCCTCAAAGTGATGATCTATCTATAGTGAATACTTAAAGTTCATTCAGGAGTTAAAATGAATAAAACAGAAATACAAGAAATAAGATGGATAAAATTTTATAAGCATTATGTTGAGATAAAAAATGTTTCAGGATATATTCAATTTACAAACATTTTTTCTCATACAAAACAGTAATATATATTCGAGAAATATGCATATGTGTATGAATGTATAAAAACATAAATGGGAATGTATCACACCATCTTAATAAGAGGCTATCACTAAGAGGCTATCTCCAAGAGGAAAGAATGGAATGTGTAAGTCTTATCTGTATCTTTATCATTTGATTAAAAAAGAAAACTAAAGCAAACCTGGGAAAAATTATATTTTTTATTTTAAGAATTTTTTAAAAAATATATTAAAAATAATTTTAAAAATAAAGATATTTCTTCTGCTTAAGGATAAAGTAAATTTTAGAAATGCTTGTTCCCCAGTGCCGTAAAGAAATAGCACTTGAACATAAACTTAATTTTCTCAGCAAGGCCATTTTTATACTTTCTACAGAAAGGGTACATTTGCCAGCAGTTTTGCCAGGAGAGTACACTGAAGAAAGGAGACAGGTTCATTTATAATCTGACGCGTCCCTCCCACTGCTGTGTCCGGTTTCCACTGGCTGGAACGGGACATCACATTTTGTATTTGTCTCAATTGGCTAGCAACTTAGAACTTTTTAAAAGAGGCAAGGCAGAGGAGAACTAAAGAAGGAGGAAGTAACTTGTGGAATGCTGAGAAAGGTAAAAACACCTTCAAATAAGGAACAGGAACAGGCTATGACCTAATGCTTGCTTGGACCAGTATAAGCATGAGAGGGTAAATATTTAGGCTAAATTGTGGGAGCTAAGAACATAAAGTACATTGATTTCTTTATTACAGCTAGCAGATATTTAAGAATGTTAGTACGGGTCTTTGAATAAATTTTGCTTTTAAGAGAAGTTACTATGTATTCCTAATTAGATAGGGAGGAAAGTCTTTGAAGAGGAACCTCTACTTCACTTTTTACAGTAAATAACAGCCTCTGGCTATTTCAGGGCACTAAATTGATGCAAGAGAAATGGGTACTAGGTAAAGCTAGGACACCAAAAGACCATTTCCTGAAGCATTCTCAATGATGATTGATCAAGATGACAATGTCCTCTTTCAGGACACCTGAAATCCAAGAAAGGCATCTTTTATATTACTTAAAAGTATCAAGATCAGGATGTCAAGAACATGGGAAGGTGTTGAGAGCACTAAAGGATCAACGTAGAGTTTTACACAAGTAGATGAAAAGACCAAAAGACACTGATAATAAAACAGTGAAGAAGAATTTAAGTAAAAGGAAGAAAATGCTAACCCTGATTTGATGCCTAACTTAATACAACTGTTAAGTTTAACCTAACGCTGCCTCCTTACATATTTTAAATTCAGCCTAATGATTTCTTTGTACATAGTGAACTATATCTAACTGGATGTGTAAACAGACCGTAATCTACTCTTCTGCCAATCATTGAGTTTCAGCCAATCAACCATGGCCAACTGTTAAAATTGTATTAAAATAAGGCAAAAGCCAATTTGTTATCCATCTGGCTGTTTCAGTACTTCACTTCCATTTTCTCTATGTCACTTTCCTTTTTCTATCGATGAATCTTCTTTGACAGAGAGACAGCACTGGATCATCTCAGAACCTATTTTGGTTCAGGGGCTGCCCAATTTGTGAATCATTCTTTGCTTGATTAAATTCTGTTAAATTTAAGGTTTTTCTTTTAACACAACTCCGTATAGGCTAAAGCTTGGGTGGCTTAGTACAGCAAAGCAAAAAGGAAAGTCAGATTTCTGGTTGCTCATAATACATCAATTGCATGAAAATAAGAAAATTCAAATAGCAGTGGAATGCAGTCCTTTCTTGTGTATTCTTTTCATTCAGTAACAAAGAACCTAACCATCAGACTTGTTAAGAAAATGGTTCAGAAAGAGGCATATAAAGAAATGGGTACGGTTCTGAAACAACAATAGGATAGTGGGTTTTGTACTGCTCTAAGGAACAATGACATTCTGTAGAGGTGTTGCAGATCAGTCAAGTTATATGAGAAGGAAACTGGGAAAGTATCTTTCAAGCTGCTTCTCCTGTGTTCATCAGAAAAACTTCATTTTTTATTTGTTTTACATATTGGAGATATATATATATGTTTGTAGGAAAAAGGCTATAATACTTAAATACATATTGAATTAATTGATGAAAGGACACATAAATTATAGGATAGTTTTATAAGTCTGACTTCAACGTTTTTCAAACAGATTTTAAAAAGAGGTTAGTATCATTTTAAAAATAAACGCTAGTGCTATTTTAAAAGATACAAGATTTTTATGAAAGTTTTACAGACATTGCATTTAAATAATCTACCCCAAAACTGATTATTAATTCTACATAAAGTAAAATTCTGGTTTCAGTTTCTAGATTGTCGAACTTTTTAAAAACCGAATTTGCAGAATAGATAATAACTTTCAGTAGTAGCAATTTAAACAATATGGTGAAAATTCTGAGTGTCTCAATGATGACAGCCAATGAGTTTGAAAATACACGTAGATGATTGAGAGAGAGATGATAGATAGGTAAATACAGAGATTTAGAGGTAAATATTTTTACTCTTTTCTAATTTCACACAATGTCCAATATATTACTTTTAAAATTTAAACATGCCTTGGATACCAGATATGAGGAGGTGACACCGATATAGATTCCATGACATCAAAAGAATAATAAAGAAATAACATAAACAACTTTATAGCCACACGTTTAATAACCTAGATGAAATGGAAAAAAAATTGCCTGGAAAACCTAATTTGCGAAAATTCACACAAGAAGAAATAGCCAGTCAGAATAACTCATATGCATTAAAGAAATACTATCGATAATTAATAACCTTCCTAAATAGACAGTACCAGTCCCAGATGGGTCCACTTGTGAAATCTACAAAACATTTATGAAAAATATTATAACAATTCTTTAAGATCTTTTTCAGAAGACAGAATCGGGGGCATACTTCTTAACTCATTCAATGAGACTAGTATTAAAACAGCACAATATTAAAATAAAAGAAAACTACATACCAATGTCTCACATGAGTGTATATGCAAACATCCTCAACAAGACAAGACAAGTCATTGTAGTTTCATGATTGTAACAAATTTACCATTCTGCTACAGGATGTTGACAATGAGAGAGGATATGCATGTATGTGGATGGGGATTTGTAGAAACTCTTTGGACTTTGTGTTCAATTTTACTGTGAACCTAAAACTGCTCTAAAAAATAAAGTTTATTTAAAATATCTTGAAGACTATTTTTATTAATTTCAAAATTTTATAATGAGTATGCTCAAAATTACTTGTGTAATTAAAATAAATCTGCATTTCCATGTTATAATCTTACACCCTCATTCCCTTTGATGGATCCTCCAGATACTCTAATATCCCATCTTACCTGCTTACATCCACTGTCTCTCCCTCCCTGCCTCCATCTTTCCCCCTCTTCCTTTTATTTTTTCTCCTTCCTTCTCTACTTCTCACCTTTCCTTCCTTGGGATTCTTATGCTGTGAACAGTAGAGACATTTTTAAAATTATCTTAAGTATTGAGGACATATGACACAAACTTACGGTGGAATTAGGGCAGCAGAGCACAGTGTCTCTGCAGTCACAGGACCAGCTCTTAGTTTGGGCCTCAGGCAGGACTGGGTCTTAGTTCAGGAAACTATTGTCAGATAAAGCCAAGTATCTGGCTCTGTGATTGCCCGTCTGGTGACTTAACTTCTTTCTGTCTCTATCTGTTCTTATAACCATACAGCCTACTACTTCTCTTTGCTTGCCTCACATTTAGACTAGTTTTAATAAAGTCCATTTGACCTTACTAATTACCATGAAAATAAAGCATGCCTTTGGGCACATACACCTCACATGAGCTCCTGTACTAGCCAGTTAATGTGTAAAAGCTCTACCAAATGGTGTATTTTCTTGGTCTATTAAATGATTATACAAATACTCTTCCTCTAACAGCCTTGATAGACATTTAATCTAGATCTAAATTCTATGAAATTCATGTATATTAGTTTATGCCTCCACTTCAATTATCTGCTAAAGCCTTTGTGTTGTCCATGTGAGGATTCTTCTAGTTTTAAACTATCAGAGGAGGCTGTTCAATAGATGAGGCATTTGGGTAATATGTGGTAGTGAGAGGTGACAATGTGCTGGCAGCCCTCGCTGGCGCTCAGCACCTCCTCAGCCTCAGTGTCCACTCTGGCCACGCTTGAGGAGCCCTTCAGCCAGCTGCTGCACTGTGGGAGCCCCTCTCTGGGCTGGCTGAGGCTGGAGCCAGCTACCTCTGCTTGCCGGGAGGTGTGGAGGGAGAGGCGCGCACAGGGTGCTTGTGGGCCAGCGGGAGTTCCAGGTGGGCGTTGGCTCAAGCGGCAGGCCAGCACAGCCAGCCCCGAGCAGTGAAGGGCTTAGCACCCGGGCCAGCAGCTGCGGAGAGGGCGCCCAGTCCCCCAGCACTGCAGACCCGCCCACGCCGCGCTCAAATTCTCGCGGGGCCTCAGCTGCCTCCCCGCGGGGCAAGGCTCCGACATGCAGCCTGCCATGCCCAAGATCCCCCACAGTGGGCTCCCCAAACGGGCCAGAGCCTCCCCAACGGGCATCGCCCCCTGCTCCACGGCATCCGGTCCTTTTGACTGCCCAAGGCCTGAGGAGCACGGGGCACGTGGCGCAGGACTGGTGGGCAGCTCCACCTGCGGCCCCCCACGGGATCCACGAGGCAAAGCCAGCTGGACTCCTGAGTCTGGTGGGGACTTGGAGAACTTTTATGTCTAGGTGGAGGATTGTATATGCGCCAATCAGCACTCTGTGTCTAGCTTGGGGTTTGTGGATGCACCAATCAGCACTCTGTTTCTAGCTAATCTGGTGGGGACTTGGAGAACTTTCCTGTCTAGCTAAAGGATCATAAATGCACCAATCAGCACTCTGTGTCTAGCTCGGGGTTCATGGATGCACCAATCAGCACTCTGTGCCTAGCTAAAGGTTTGTAAACGCACCAATCAGTGCTGTGTCTAGCTAATCTAGTGGGGACTTGGAGAAATTTTACATCTAGCTAGAGGATTGTAAATACACCAGTTAGCACTCTGTGTCTAGCTCAGGGATTGTAAACGCACCAATCAGCACCCTGTCAAAACGGACCAATCAGCTCTCTGTAAAATGGGCCAATCAGCAGGATATGGGTGGGGTCAGATATGGCAATAAAAGCAGGCTGCCAGAGCCAGCAGCAGCAACCCCCTTGGGTCCCCTTCCACACTGTGGAAGGTTTGTTCTTTCGCTCTTTGCAATAAATCTTGCTGCTCACTCTTTGGGTCCGCACTGCCTTTATGAGCTGCAACACTCACTGCAAAGGTCTGCAGCTTCACTCCTGAGGCCAGCGAGACCACGAACCCACCAGGAGGAATGAACAACTCCAGACAGGAGGAAGGAAGAACTCTAGATGTGCTGCCTTAAGAGCTGTAACACTCACCGCGAAGGTCTGCAGCTTCACTCCTGAAGCCAGCCAGACCACGAACCCACCAGAAGGAAGAAACTCCGAACACATCCTAACATCAAAAGGAACAAACTCCGGACACACCATCTTTAAGAACTGCAACACTCACCGCGAGGGTCCACGTCTTCATTCTTGAAGTCAGTCAGATCAAGAACTCACCAATTTCGGACACGATAGTAGTGCCAAAGCCCATCTATAGGGAAAAATCATGAAATTCTTTAATTAGTTTGAATTCTGTATACAAAATAGAAATAGAAAAATAGTTTCTATGATTTAAAATTGCTATTAAATACTTGCCATATATGCTTTTTTAAAAAAATTGTCCTTTTTAGGCAGAGAAGTAGTGTATGAGTTGGCAATTATTTGATGTATTGGTATAGATACATATATATTTGTACTTATATGTATTTGTGTAGTGTGTGTACTTGCATGTGTATGCATAAAAGAACACTAATTACTAAATATTGAACTTGATTACTTACATTGCAAACCCTGAGAAGGAATAATGTCTTATTTGTGTCATGTACTACACCATAGCACACACTTAGTACTCAGAAAGTTAAATAATAACAATTGTGTAATAAAAATGGTCACAGGGGAGGGACTGGTATCAGGAGAATGAAGTCCAGTAATAATAACTGATACAATACTAGTCTCCAGAAGAACATGTAATTTTTCATCTCTTTTAACCCCCAAGAGACTCTTAAAATTATTCAGGCAAAGTCTGACTCACAGAACTCAAAGCATACATAAATGCGAGAATTTATAGTCTAAGTTTGTTGTAAGTAATGGGTCAGTGCACATCTGGGAGAAAAGCAAAAAAGAACAGTCAGATTGAGGTGTTTTATTTTTCATTCAAACTCATTTATTTGTACATTTATTAAATCTGCAGTGAGTGGCTAACTCATACTCTAGATGTCTCCAAGCCTTCAGGAGAGTGTTCATCCAAACGACAGTGAGAGCCCCTGAGGGTCTATTTGGTGGAGACTGACAAAGAGATGAAAATATTTGAAAACATGCTATCTTCTCCAGATATTGGTCTGTACATTTGTATAACAGCTGTGGGTGAGACTTTTTCCCACTACTCAATGTCCTTTTCTCCCAAGCTGAGGGTAATTTTAAATATCTACATACACTGTGAATAGACATAGGGCATCACCTAAATTTAAATGAACAGTCTCTAGTCAATGATGGTTTAATTGTAACATAAACACTTTCTGGCCAAACTGGTGAGGAAGGGAGGGAGAGAGGGAGAGAGGGAGGGAGGGAAGGAAGGAAGGAAGAAAGGAAGGAAGGGACTACTGTTACACTAGAGATTTCAAAATAAAATTTAGGGGACAGTGGTAGTACAGAGTTTGATTTCACTTACATTGGGTTGGGGTGTGGTGAGGGAAGCTAAGGAGAATTCCCAGTTTGCTTGGGTAATTATAGAAACCTAAAATGTAGCAGAGAAAAGGGACATGCCTAATAGCAGCCTTGAATAAAGATCCAAAAGTAGGCGTGCATGTGGTATAAACTACAGATAAGCCAGGTGGATTAAGATACTGGATATATAACGAGGTGCAATTGCAAATGAGTCTGAAAATACTGCCTCAAGCCAAATTATTAAAGGTCCTGAATGGAAGACTCAGGAGTTCATAATTTGTTGTCTTGTAAACAGAGTGTCATAAATAAAGTAGGCCACTATTACAATCATATATGAGTTTTGAAAATGTATTTATGAAAAAATATAAAAGATAAATGGAAAGCAGAAGAAGCAGAAAATAAGGAGGTGTGTGCCAAGGAGGCCTGAGGTATGTTCTGGAAGTGAGGATGGAGGTGAAGGGGTGGAATTGACAGGATTTGAAAGTTTTAAGTTGGAAGATGAGGAAGAATAAAAAGCCAGAGATGAGTTCACGTTTTTAGAAACTGTGTGTGAAGGCATTCACTGAAATAGGTAACATAAACTTAAAAATAGGGGGCAGATAATAGGGAGTTTACTTAATGGACCTTTTCAGATTGCATTGCAACACATTCAGATAACTGAAATCCTTGAAGCTATAAAGAACAGAAACCATATCATCAGGACCAATAGAAAAATGGAGACTGGTGATCTTCTCATAAAGAAGGTAAACAGTGTCCTTTATTCACTACATTAATGCTCCTCCATAATAGAGATTTAGCTTGTCAAGTATCACTCTTTTGATTCTTCCCGTTGCTACCAGTTTAATAGTCTCTCTGGTCTCATTATTTTCCTTCATATATTTTCACATGCTATCTACTGTAATTTAAGAATAAAAAATGAAGGAAATATACTTGGGGTATGAAAATCAACAAAGAAGATGCAATCAAAAGGTTCCAAGTCACCAGGGCTTTCAAATAAAAGTGTGAGGTAGTTGTATTTCACTTCTCTTGGCTAAGGAGACTAAACCTCCTTGGCTTTGTATAACAGCTATAAGAACTTGAGCTGACACATATATGTTTATTTATTTATTTATTTAATAAGTAAACATGGATCAGCTCTGCAGTTGCTAAAAGAATCACACCATATATGATGTACATTGAAAATGTATACCAAGCTTGCATCAATTAAATCCTACGTTTCAAAATATGGTAGACAGAATACTAGCCCTGCAAATTTGTTCACATTTTCATTCCCAGAATCTATTAATATGTTACGTCACATGACAAGAAAGAATTAAGGTTGCAGGTGGATTTAAGTTTGCTAGTCATCTGACCTTGTTATGAGATTATCCTGTATTATCCAGGAAGACCCAATGTAATCACAAGGGGCCTTATATACCAAAGAGAAATTTACAGGGGTCAGTGTCAGAGTAAGACTCAACCAACCATTGCTGGCTTTTATGATGGAAGAGGACCACAAGCAAACAAATGCAAGCAACTCTTAAGAGCTGAAAGAAAAAAAAAAAAAACAAAATTAAAAAAAAAAATTGAGACTAGTCTCCAAAGAGGAATATAGCCCTAATAATCCTTTGATATTAGCCCAATGAGACTCATTTTGAACTTCTGACCTCCAGAAGTAAGTTAGTAATTCGTTGTATATAAAGCTACTTCATTTGTGGTAATTTGTTACAGCAGCAATAAAAAACTGATACACAAAACATTTATATATTTTTAAATTTTGTTTCGTTTTAATTCCTTATTGGACAATTGAAATATTATAAACAAGCAAATGACTTTAACATGTTGTTCAAGAGCATCAAATTCTTTAATGCAATTTCTGCATCACAAATGACAAGCTGTTTATCTAAGTTAAATTTTAATGGGAAGACTTTCTACTTTGCCTTCGGGTATCTCACATATCCTCATTTACATGGAGAAGAGTGAAACATTCAATATCTAAATTCTAGGTAGAATTCTAAGGCAGATAGCGTGCAACTTTGTATCCCCAGGGAGTAATCACAGGTCTTAGTGCTCTAAAAATTGACCATTGGTGTATAAAAATATATAATTACTGTTTGAAGACTGAACGATGATAAATGACTAACTGTGGTAGTAAACATTAAGAAATGGCCCTATCTCCTGATGTTCATGAGTTTGTCTAATACTCTTGACTTTTGTTAGAGCTAGACCTAGTGACTCACTTCTAATGAATACTATATGACAAAAGTAATAGGATGTCAGTTCTCTTGCTACCTATCTTTCTTGCTCAGAGGTCAGGCATCTGCCATTTTATCAGATACTGTATATAGAAGTATAAACAACAGCCAGTGAGAATCTGAGGACTGCCAGAAAGCATGTGAATCAGCTTGGAAGATCCCCCAGCAGGAAATCATTGATATGACTATAGTCCCAGCCAACTCCGTAGTTGGAACCTCATGAGAAACCTTAAGCCAGGGAATTCAGTTCAACCATGCCAAAATCCCTCATCCTCACTCACTGAAAGAAAATACATGTTTATTGTTTTAAACAGCTATATCATCAGGTAATTTGTGATGCTGTAATAAATTAGTAATACATTAACTGAAATACATGAAGAGTAACTGGTATAGCATATATAGAAATTTAGGTAGAATATGGAATAAAAATATCTGAATCTAGCATTATTGCAAACCTTAGCCCATTACCTCCCTCAAGGGTATACAGTGTTTAGTGTGTTGAAATGGTCTGAGAAAAATAGGATTTGAAGAATGCTGCTGGAATATTATGACAATATCTTTCTCTTCCTCCAACCAAGCCAAGTGAATGGCCCGTTAGAAAGCTTAACATATTTCCCTTGTGCTTTGAAGATCATAGGTGAGTGGTATTTGATTCACACCTGAAAAATATACAGACTAGAGATTTTTCTGGAGTGGACTGTGAGAGCAGAATAGTGGGAGCAGAACTAAGACGTATATTTTTCCATGGACTACATGTG
Source organism: Homo sapiens (assembly GCF_000001405.40). Classification (NCBI taxonomy): domain Eukaryota; kingdom Metazoa; phylum Chordata; class Mammalia; order Primates; family Hominidae; genus Homo; species Homo sapiens. The sequence continues at coordinate 84,825,126 of NC_000005.10, read as the reverse complement.
GATCTCAGAAGGAAGTCACAACAGATCATTCTGAAATGGGCCACAACCCAAGATGATTTTCTCTTCAGGTTAATCAACCACATCAGAAGGAGTTCGTGATGCACAATAGTATTTAAAAGATATCAAAAAAGTTAGACGGTCTAAAAGAGACATTACTTGTCAAAGAAAAGGACTCTCCAATCACTGAAATGAAACTTTGACTTGGAACATTTTTATCTGGGGCTAACCAAAAGAATCCTTTGAAATGTGAATATAATAACAACAAAAACCAAAGATTGCCACTCTTTTATTGAGTACAAACGTATAATTGTAGAAAGTATTAGAATTATTTGGCAATGATTTAATGTTAAATCAAAATTTCAGTCACTCCTGATTTTATTGTGTCTACTTTTTGATATCTTACTTTTTAAACTCATATATATATAAAAACTGATATATATGTAAACTGATAAATATATATGATATATAGTTTATATATGATATATACATATATAATGTATATATACATATAAATGTATATATATTATATGATATATATATCATATATGATATGTCCATGATATATGATATATATAATATATATATGGTTAAAGTGCAACAGATAGTTTTTAATAACACTATGTAAAGCTTATTGAGCCTGGGGCTTATTTTACGTAAGAGTTCATAACTGAAGTGGAAAATTTGTAAATGGATTATTTCCTATAAATAGGTATTTACAGGAAAAAGCCATCTGCAGACAAAAAATAAAAAGTTTTAAACTACAAAGGGTCAATATCTGACCTTTCCTACACTGACATGACTTCAAAGAATCAATATTTTTCATTTTCTTTATCTGAAAGGAAAGCACTAACTTAGTACCCAGAGACATGCTGTCGGGATCTATTATTGAGGTTGCTTTCCTAAAGTACACTTAGATATTAATAATTTAAAAAGCACACTCAAATTTTTAAGAAATATTTCTCTTTTAAAAGTAAGAAAAGTAAAATCATAAAAATCATTAGGTTTTTGGGTAAAATAAGAACTCTGCTAAGACTGTGGAATATTTATACTAAGAATTGTTCTAAGTAAACCTACATAAATATTGTTCTTAGTTGCTGCTGAATGACAAATGGACATTGTAAACATGCTCTTAGATATGCAAGAACAATTAGACTTAACCCAGAAATACAGAGGCCTTTAGAAAGAAACTTCCCCTAATTTTATATATATTTTGCCATCCTTCTCACAATATAATCTTTCCAAGCTAAACAGTGGACCAGTGTTGATCAATATAGGAAAATTAAATGATTGACCCAAGCCTTTTTAATGGAATGCTATGAAAATGTTATTCCTATATTTAAGTCAATTAACTAGTATTGAAGAATTACCTAACATGATGTGACATTAAATATATGGTACAAAATAATATAGACACTATGCTCGCATTTTGTCTATATGTGTGTACAGATGTATGTGTGCAGATTTTGGTGTATAGTACTATAGGTGGGTATGTACCAAGCATTTACTCTTTGTACCTTAGGTTGTGCTATATCAATTTTAATTTTGTTTGACCATTGTTACATTCTAATTTTGCCATAATCAATATATATTACTTTGATATTTTAAAAACCTATGAATTTCCAAGAGAAATGGAACTAGATAGGTTTCAGAAAAAAAAAAAGTCAATTATGATTAAGTTATCATGATAATCAAAGAATAATATTATAACTTTATTTTGGCCATATTTTCCAAACAGTGTAATTTTATTACTGGGTGTTAGTAATGTGAGCCTTTTCTGGATTCAACAGCATTCATGGATAAGTTTTCATGTCTCCTCTGTATTCTACATTAAATTTACTGTTGTTAGCATGGATTCTTGATCTGTCTTCCTCACCAAAGCCATGAAATGTCCAATTGAGAACAAGATCAATTATTTTTGGATAACACTGTTGAGTATTTGTTGACATATCTTGAATTGTATATTCTTTGTAAGTAACTTGCTAATTTATATATATATATATATACTTTAGAGTATATATATAAAATATGCAATATGTAGTTTTATATATATACTTCTAGAGTACATGTGCAGAACCTATAGTTTTGCTACGTGGGTATACATGTGCCATGGTGGTTTGCTGCGCCCATCAACCCGTCACCTACATTAGGTATTTCTCCTAATGCTATCCCTCCCCTAGCCCCCCACCCCCCGATAGGCCCCTGTGTGTGATGTTCCCCTCCCTATGTCCATGTGTTCTCATTGTTCAACTCCAACTTATGAGTGAGAACATGCGGCGTTTGGTTTTGTGTTCTTATGCAGAATTGAAGGATATAGAGATGTGTAACTTGCTAATTTTTAAACATTTAGGAAATACTGATTTTTTTAACCATCATCCTATTTGTTTTGACTTAGATAAAATTATTAAGCACAGATTTAAGCAACAGAATTTACCAATTTTAATCTTCCCTGCCCCCCAGATTTCAGAATAATAAATCATACTAGCACAAACCAGGTGGCTCTCTAACATCTCACTCTTCACCAGACTCCAAACCTCAGCAGCTGCTATTGTCTTTTCTTTTCCCATCCTTGCAGTAATGATGATGACAGGAGCAGAAAGGTAGAGGAGGAGGAGGAAAGAAAAGGAAAATGAAAAAGAGGAGGGGCGAGGTAGAAAAAAACAAAGAAAATAAAGAAGAACAAAGAGAAAATAAGAAAGAAAAAGAAGCAACCATTTAATAAAACATGCCTGGCATTATAGTAGGCTGTTTATGAAAATTATTTTGTTCAAGCCACATAATAATCCTGTGAAGACTTTATTAGTTTCTGCATTTTGCAGGTGAGAAAACACTCAAAGAGGCTGAGTAACTTGGTAAAGGTCACACATGACGTTAGGTAAAGCTACAATCAAAACCCAGGCTTCCTGACTTCCAAGTGCTTCTCACTTTATTGCCTTACATTTTTCCTTGTCTACCCCTTCATTCCCTCTCTCTCTCTCCTCCTTATTCTCCACATTCAGTAATGTAAGTGGCCTTCGGGGGAGCAACATGGTCACAGGGCAACAACTCTATAAAGTGATGGAATGTTTCCAACTATTCTAGACTTCCATCTCACATAGATGCCAGTAGTGTTTTGTTGTTGCAGTTGCCAGATCATGAAATGTTACTGCATATTTTTGTGCACAGTTCAAATAAAATAAAATATGAAAATATTCATTTTTCGAATTCATATTTATACTTTTTTCATGTTGTTATATTTACAAATAAACCCACCAATGTTAAGCAGATAATTTAAACACCACATGAATATCAAGATAAAATGGACAATTGAGAAAATTGCCTGTGTAATTTATGTAAAAAATAAAAATTATTTTGTCTTTCTGGAATCGAGTCTAAGAGGTATCTTGATTAAAGTCGTCACTTATTTACATAATTCTCTAAATTCTGCATTTTAATGTGGAGAATTTTTAAAAATCCAAGGCACTTATGAAAAAGAAATAAATTTTCAAAATAAAATTAATATGATATAAAGTCATATAATGTGGCTGAAATATTGAAATATTTTTGTTGAATTATTTGATTAATATTTATTTCAGGAATTATATTAAGCAATCACTAAAACTGATAAATTTTACATTATGCAAATATTTTATATGTTAAATATTCAAGAAAAATACACACATGAATGGCTTGCATTAATTTAATTAAATGCTTAAATTTATTGGCTTATAAAAAGATATAGATTTTTGATTATACCTATTAAAATATGTCATTTTTACACACCAGCCATATCCTGTTATGAAATTTAAACAAGCTAATTCCAGAGACTATGACTAAAAAGACTACATGATATGCCTTAGATCTATTTGGAGTCACCAAATTGTTTTGAAGAAAACAATAACATTGTAATATAAAATATTACAATGAAATCTTGTTTAATGAAGAATACAGTAGACATTGAGCTCCAGCCAGTGGTTATGTTATGAAGTAATTATTATAATTGATGTTAAATCAAAGACAATATATATCCTTTTTCTGTTTGTTAGGCTCATTTATTAAAGTTAAAATTATGTGTTGTCAGATCCTCCTTTTATAAAATTCAAATGTTATTCCCATAATTATTTATTAAATAAAACTAAAATTTACAATAAAGTTTGATCAAGACACTTTAGTTGCTAATTAATAATGTACAAAGAATGAAACACTATTTTGGCATGATTTTTTTTGGGTTTAGTTCATAAAAAGATGTAGAAAGTTTAGGTTTGCTTTCTACTTATGTCAGAATTATTATTTAGACCTAATACTAATTATCGAATAAAATACATGGAAACCATGAAACAAATCTATAATAATTAGCTGACTTGATGAATTACTACATAATTCTGTAATCATCACACAATTATGCTTTGATTGGTTTTTTATTAAGTTAATTTACAGAATTGTGAAAATCAATGTGTTTAGAGTACACAACAATATTCGAAATACAAAACATTAATACAGGGAAGAAAAATTCAATGCATATGTAATCAGACTAAAATCTCAAACAGGTTCCTGTTGTAATATACAACATTAGGTGCAGAATTACAAAGTAAAGCATTTATTAATCAATATAAATATTTGTTCATCAGGTTCTCTGATATTTTCTTATTTTAATTTTTTTGTCTTTTGGGTTTCTTGTGCTTTTTGTATCGTTTTGTTTTTGAGTACAAGATAATTACTTTCACAAATTTAATGCAAATGACATAAATTGCTCTGATGTTATTCAAGAATGTCAAAATATTCCTTAATAAGCTTGAAAAATAAGAAGCAACTATAGAAAGGGACCAACTTGAATATGTTAATAAATGAAGTAAATTCTCCTAAGACCAATAACAAAATGTGAGGTTTACATCTTACAGTATCTTTTACTCTGAGAAAGACATAAAAACTGCACTGCTAGGTATGTCTTTCTTATTGTTTGAATTGTGTTCAAATATGGAATTATTATGATCAAACATTTTAGGATTCCATAAGGTAAACTTGGAATTGTCTTCAAAATAAAGATTCTGTACCTTTCATATCAGGTGAGATATGAGTTTTCAAAGATAAGAGTTTTCAAAGATAAGAGTTTTCAAACCTGTTAATCCAAAGCTCAAACACAGAATAAGAATTGGTATGTGGTGACAAAGGTAGTAACAAGGATGTTAATTTAATTTTTTATTTTCATTTTTTTGTGTGTGAATAGAATCTTTTTTTTTTTTTTTTTTTTTTTTTTTGAGATGGAGTCTCTCTCTGTTGCCCAGGCTGGAGTGCAGTGACACGATCTCAGCTCACTGCAACCTCCACCTCCCGGGTTCAAGTGATTCTCCTGCCTCAGCCTCCCAAGTAACTGGGACTACAGACGTGCACCACCACATCCAGCTAATTTTTGTATTCTTAGTAGAGATGGGGTTTCACCATGTTAGCCAGGCTAGTCTCAAACTCCTGACTACAGGTGATCCACCCACCTTGGCCTCCCAAAGTACTGGGATTGCAGCTGTGAGCCACCACACCCGGCAGAAGATTTTGACAGAGAAACGGCTTTGTGAGGAGACATTGAGAATATGTTATTAAAACATGTAAGAATGTTGACTTTAAAGCTATAAAGCAGGTAACCCCTGCAGACTGGATTACTAAATTTGTATATAAAGGTATACACAGAAATATACAATATATACACTTAAATTATATAATTATATGAATATATATTTATAACATGTAATTATGCTTAATAATATATAACAATGATTTTATGTATATTAAAATCCAAGGTTAAAAGAGAGCAAGAAGGAAAGAATGAAGGAAGGCAGGCAAGAAGGAAGGAAGGAAGAAAGGAAGGAATGGAGGGAGGGTAGAAAGGAGGGAGCCAGGGAGAGAAAAAGAAAGAGGGAGAGGGAAAGATAGGGAGAGAGAATGACCAAGGGTCAGGATCTTTGAACTTTCAAAATAGCTATTTACTCACTTTGTCTAACCAGATATTCTATTATTCAAACACATAGTAATAAAAAATTGCAATTTTTTTACTCTTATCAATAGCTATTATTGCATATTTGAATTTCAGTATGATAGTGAAAGATTCATTTTTAAAAATACAACTATGCTATTTTGAAACATAATATTTTCATAGTACTCTTACCTCATACAGCATTTTTGGCCTATAAGCAAAACAACACGTTTAACACAGACTTTTAAAATGAAAGAACGAATACTGTAAATTAAAGGAAATAAAGCTTTAGAAGATATTCCCCAAGTGCATGTAAATAATTTAAAAGCAGTCTGGTATTAGCCTTTATATAGATTTGGGCAACACTACCAAAATCATAAACAAATGTGATAGAGATTGATTTTAGAATTTCAAGTTTTGTTCCCCTAAGTAGATATTTAATGCTGCAACTCATACTTTCTCAATATCTTCATAGAATAACTTCTGCCCTCTTCTTATCAGTGTATCATTCATTAGTGTTAATAGCTTCTAGATTTTCCTCATATTATTTCAAAACCCCAATTCATTAAGAAAGCTGGAAATTTAAAAATAAAACATTTTAAAGGGATAATTTAACAATTACTAATCCAAAATCCAAAGAAAGCCAAAATCAAGTCAAATATGTGGAAAATTGAAGTTTTGGCTTGGCAGGGTGGCTCATGCCTGTAATCCCAGCACTTTGGGAGGCTGAGGCAGATGGATCACTTGAGGACAGGAGATCCATACCAGCCTGGCCAACATAGCAAACTCCATCTCTACTAAAAATACAAAAAATTAGTTGGGTGTGGTGGCGAATGCCTGTAATCCCAGCTACTCAGGAGGCTGAGGCATGAGAATCGTTTGAACTCAAGAGATGGGGGTTGCAGTCAGCCAAGATCCCTCCACTGCACTCCAGCCTGGGTGACAGAGTGAGACTGTCAAAAAATGAAAGGAGAGAAGGGGAGGGAAGGGGGAGGGGAGGGGAGGGGAAGCAAAAGATTGAAGCTTTAAAACTAATTATAGGCCGGGTGCGGTAAGTCACATCTGTAATCCCAGAATTTTGGGAGGCTGAGGCAGGCGGGATCACTTGAGGTCAAGAGTTTGAGACCTGCCTGGACAGCATGGGGAAACCCAATCTCTACTAAAAATACAAAAATCAGTGGGCGGTGATGGCATGCACCTGTAGTCCCAGCTACTCTGGAGCCTGAGGCCAGAGAATCGCTTGAACCCAGGAGGCAGCGGAGGCTGCAGTGAACTGAGATCACACCACTGCATTCCAGCCTGGGCGACAGACTGGAGAGAGAGATTCCATTTCAAAAATAAATAAACACATACATAAATAAAAATAAAACAAAACAGTTATTAATGTATCTCTCAATCTCAGAAATAACATATTTGCTTATTGTTATATGTTTTTTACATATTTATATATCACATATATATTTATACATCACTACATATTAATATTCAAACATGCTTATTGTGTGTTCATGTTTAGGAAGAACAGAGTTTTATCTGATAACAAATGCCATTTAGTTTGAATAATATTTATATTGTTAACTTGTTAACAAAATTCAAATATCTCACAGTTTAATATTTCCAGAAAAAAAAAAGTGAGGAAATCCCTGGTATATCAACGAGCATAAATCTGAGATGAGGCAATAACTAAATGATTTTGCTTGTTTATATTGCAGCCCAAACCAGATAGCCTTTTATAGACACTATCATACTAAAAGCTCCTGTAAAATCGTTGAAGCTTTGCTTAGGAAGAACTGAGTAGAGGGAGTGTTAAAATCACAGCAGGAGATTCAACTCAGTCCAGTTTATCCTGTTGCTTTAAAAATGGCATTGATCTTATGCAGCAGATGTGGCACTTGGTTATTCTGGGCTTCTGCACTATCAAAAGCTTCTGTGACTTTAATGAAAACTTTATCTTTACACATTGGAAGCTCTAATGTGATTGAGCCTGCCTGTCTTTCTGATGCCTTTACTGTCACCAGAGTTCCTGGCCCTTCCCACTTTTGCGGCTTCTACTCCTACTTTGCATTTTTTTTTTATTTCTTCCTTAAGTCATTCAGAGTCTTCAGTGTTCTCTTTCACTGTGCATTTTAGCTATCGTGCCTACTTTCCCTGGTTCCTCTACTTAAAGATTCCTTAAGCAAAGACTTTTATACCTAGCACTTGAAAGTAAGGAATAAAGCACAGCCAACAATGAGATGTATGATTCACTGTTGCACAATCTCAAGTTAGTATGGTTCCTCTCAGAGACAACTGCAAAGACATATATTTAGGTTTTACTCCTTCTTCCATTATGCATCTTCATTTTCCCTAGCTTTGACCTCCAAGTCCAAGAGCTCATGCTTCTTTCTCAGGAAAGATGTTGCACCTGGGTCATCTTTGAAGCCTTTCCATCTTCCAGAATGAGCTAATCTATGTCATATTTATCCAGGATTCTGCTTTGTAAACAACCAGCTAATGGGGTAAAATAACTTGAACATGTGTGACCAAATAGCTTAATGTGTTAAACTACCCAGCTTACATTTGTACAGGTGACCTCTAAAAAGAGTTTCAGTTCCTAAAAGCAAGTAATCAAATTGCCAACCTGTGTATATTTTCAGAAGATTATGATAAAGTGATGATTTCCCTCACTATTCCCCTTCCCTCTCCATCCTCACCTCTTCCTCTTTCCCTCTAAAGCAACCTGGCAGATTCAAACTCTTCTCTAACTCTCTGCTGAATCTAAATGTCAAACACCCGCAGGCACATCATAAGTGTTATTTTAGCCTTTTGCATTACCTTTGGTAGCACTTATCTCACTCTTTAGCAATTATTTGAGTGCATTTCTGCCTCCACCACCACATGATTTTGAGCTCTAAAAAAGCACAAAAAGTTCTCTCACTAGCACAAGTAAATATTAAAATACTGTTAGTTAAATAAAGGAATGAATAAATGAATGCTCAAGTGAATGAATGAGGATAGAAATTCAGCTGGAGGATAAGAATCTGTTAAAGTGATTATTTATTTTTATCATTTGGTCAAGTTATGTAATCTTTAATGTCAACTTTATCACCTGTAAAATGGATATTAAAGATGATGTGAGAATCAAATGTGATTATGTCTGTAAAAACCCAGTGTAAAGTAAAAAACACAATGCAAATATTATGTTACTACTTCACAGACAGATTCTCCTGGCAGTTATTTAGCTGTTGTTCATATATTATTACTGATTTTGTATTTTTTCCAGATGTCTACCATGACAGATTGCATGTTGGTTCCCCATTAGTGACACCCTCTTCTTTGTAGGACTATACACCTCCATATATTGCCATGTGACAAGCAGTGCCTTCCTTGTCACCCCACACCACTGACAAAAGGTTTGGATGAGTGACTTGCCACAGCCAATGAAATGCGAGCAGAAGTGACAGTGTGCCCTTTTCCAATAGCAGCTTTAAGAGCCATTATATCCTTTTGCTGCCTTCTTGATCTTTCTGCTCTGCATAGGAACAACCTATTCCATTGGGAGCTGCTCCTTTAGCCCAGATCCTGGAATAAGGAAAAAACAAAGAGCAGCCGAGCAACCACCACTGACCCCTGCATTTAACATGAGCAAAAAGTAAACCCTTTTACTCTCAGCCATGTTGACACTATAATTAATCAACCAGACTAATTAATTATAGACTCCTTTGAGAATGAATGGTGTGCTATTCATGATTACACTGAGACAACAGACATGAACAAGGACAGTCCTGGGCAAACAGGAAGAATGTACACCTTAGCTACATAAAATAGTTTGAGTTAAAAGTTCTACAAGGCATATCACAAAACATTTAACTACTACTCCCAATCTTTCCCACTCTCTATATCAATTCCCTGTAAGCTTTTATCTTAATTTTGGTTCTATCAGCAGTGCCTGTTAATATTATTCTGATTCTGTAAATACTTTTCTGTCTTGTGTACATATATTATTTTATTGATTTTCATTTCCCACGTAATTTCTTCCCTGGAATTAGTGATCATTTTTAAGCTTTCACTTGCTTTTCCATGAATATGTCACTAACTCAACTCCAAACTTCCTTCCAGTTATCTAAATGTCCTCTCTATTTATTCCTGTGCATCAAAAATTTGTCAGTTTTATTTTTCTGAAAAACTTGAAAATTCTTGAAGCACTCCCAGAGGCCTCTACTTTCTCTAGATGGAACTGCATGTTCTCTAAATCTGAGACACATTTGTCGTCATTCTCCCTTCACCAGTATCTTGTGTATTCCCTTGAATTTTTTTCTCTCCTTTATTGGATCCCTGTTTTATAAAGAATTTTTTGTTCTGTCTACGTTTAATCCCTTGTTTCGGTTGAAACACATCAAATTACTTCCTGGTGAAAGGTAACGAGAAATAATTGATTTTGAAATTTTGCATGTCTGAAAGTATCTTCATTCTGTCCTTATTCTTAATTAATAGTTAAGCTAAGTGAAACATTTTAATTAGGCATCCATAGCTGTCAAAAGTTTTCAAAATATTTTTTCCATTGCCTTAGCTTCAAGTGTTGGAAGCCATTGGCTTTACAGCCATTACTATTTCTAACATTTCATATGCGGACGATCTACTCTTTTTCCTTGGAACTTGCAGAATGATTTTACCAGAACATAAAATTTCACAAAACTGTATGCCTTGATGTGGATCTATTTTCATTCTCTGTGCTGGTCTGCTGTTGTTTCTTTTAGAATTTTTAAAAATTTATTTGATTGATCTATCTATCTTATTTATTTTCTTTGGTTTTAATAAGCCAAAGTATAAGACTTATCTAACACAGTTCCATATCTGGTTGCAAAGGACGTAGAATAATTTTTATTACATTTATTCCTATATAGGACCTCTATACACACTCCTGTGATAACAATTCTATCTGATATACTACAATTGTGTCGTGGTTTATGAACTAGCTTAGTGATTTTACAGAGAAACTATTTCAACCTTCAGGTGCTCACATGCACGTCTTAACTAAGGAGAAAAGAGACATGTTTATCTTAATTCTATGAACAAATACATCAAAGAATAGTATTTTTATCCATTTCTGCTATTCTCTAAGGCCTCATCCCTATGTAAGAATATGTCATGTCCACATTGTTCTTCATAATTTATTTAGTGTTTATTTTACTCCTCCATTGTGCGTGCAATTTCCTAGGTTAATATCTGTATTACTCTATTTTCATACTGCTATGAAGAAATACCCGAGACTGGGTAATTCATAAAGAAAAAAGAGGTTTAATGGACTCACAGTTCCACATGGATGGGGAGGCCTCACAATCGTGGCAGAAGGCAAAGAAGGAGTAAAGGCGTGTCTTATATGGCAGCAGGAAAGACAGCATGTGCAGGGGAACTGCCCTTTATAGAACCATCAGATCTTGTGAGACTTATTCACTATCACAAGAACAGCATGGGAAAAACCCATCCCTATGATTCAATTACTTCCTACCGGGTCCCTTCCACAATGTGTGGGGATTATGGGAGCTACAATTCTAGATGAGATTTGGGTGGGAACAGAGCCAAACCATATTTTTCTGCCCCTGGCCCCTCCCAAATCTCATGTCCTCACATTTCAAAATTAAACATGCTTTCCCAACAGTCCTGCAAAGTCTTCACTCATTTCAGCTTTAACTCAAAAGTCCACAGTCCAAAGTCTCATCTGAGACAAGGCAAGTCCCTTCTGCCTATGAGCCTGTAAAATCAAAAGCAAGTTAGTTACTTCCTAGATACAATGCAGATACAGGCATTGGATAAATGCTCCCATTCCAAATGGGAGAAACTGGCAAAAACAGAGGAGCTACAGGACCCATGCACATCTGAAATCCAGCAGTGCAGTCAAATCTAAAAGCTCCAAAATGATCTCCTTTGATTCCATGTCTCACATCCAGGTCACGCTGATGCAAGAGGTGGGTTCCCACAGTCTTGTGCAGTTTTGCCCCTGTGGCTTTGCAGGGTACAGACCTCCTCCTGGCTGCTTTCAAGGGCTGTCATTGAGTGTCTGCAGCTCTTCCAGGTTCACAGTGCAAGTTATCAGTGGATCTACCATTCTGGTGTCTGGAGGACAGTGGCCCTCTTCTCACAGCTCCACTAGGCAGTACTTCAGTGAGGACTCTATGTGGGGGCTCCCACCCCACATTTCCCTTCCACATTGTGCTAGCAGAGGTTCTCCATGAGGCTCTTCACCAGTGCCTGCAGCACACCTCTGCTTGGACATCCAATGGCACTTCCATACATCCTCTGAAATCTTAGTGGAGGTTCCCAAACGTCAATTCTTGACTTCTGTGCACCTGCATGCCCAACACCACAGGGAAGCTGCCAAGGCTTGGAGCTTGCACCCTCTGAAGTCATGGCCCCAGCTGTAACTTGGCCCCTTTTAGCCATGGCTAGAGCAGCTGGGATGCAGGGCATCAAGTCCCAAGGCCTCACACAGCAAGGAGGCCCTTGACCCAGCCAATGAAACCATTTTTACCTCCTAGGCCTTCAGACCTGTGATAGCAGGGGTGGCCATGAAGTCCTCTGACATGCTCTGGAGACATTTTCCCCATTGTCTTGGTGATTAACATTTGGTTCCTCATTACTTATGCAAATTTCTGCAGGCAGCTTGAATTTCTCCCCAGAAAATGGGTTTTATTTTTCTACTGCATTGTCAGGTTGCAAATTTATGCTCTGCTTCCTCTTGAACACTTTGTCACTTAGAAATTTCTTCTGCAGATACCCTAAATCATCACTCTCAAGTTCAAAGTTCCACACATCTCTAGGGCAGGGGCAAAATGCCACCAGTCTCTTTGCATAGCAAGAGTGACCTTTACTCCAGTTCCCAAAAAGTTTCTCATCTCATTCTGAGACCACCTCACCCTGGATTTTATTGTTCATATCACTATTAGCATTTTGGTCAAAGCCACTCAACAAGCCTCTAGGAAGTTTCAAACTTCCCCACATTTTCCTGTCTTCTTCTGAGCCCCCCAAACTGTTCCAGCCTCTGCTTGTTACCCAGTTCCAAAGTTGCTTCCATGTTTTTGGGCATCCTTACAGCAGCACCCCACTCTACGGGTACCAATTTACTCTATTAGTTCAGTCTCAAGCTGCTATAGAGACACACCTGAGACTAGGTAATTTATAAAGAAAAAGAGGTGTAGTGAACTCACAGTTCCACATGGCTCTGGAGGCCTTACAATCATGGCAGAAGGTGAAGGAGGGGCAAAGGCACGTCTTAGATGGTGGCAGGCAAGAGCATGAGCAGTGGAAGTGACCCTTATAAAAACCATCAGATCTCATGAGACTATTCACTATCCCAAGAATAGCATGGAAAAAAAACTCATCCCCATGATTCAATTACCTCCCACTGAGTCCCTCCCATGACATGTGGGTATTATGGGAGCTACAATTCAAGATGAGATTTGGTTGGGACACAGCCAAACCATATTAATATTCTTGTCAGATTCAACAGTAAATGCCAAGGCTCCAAGTAGGGCATTTCTTGGCATGTGGAAATAACAACAAGAAAGGTAATGGTAATGCCGTTCGGAGAGAGACAGAGTTTGGGGGGAGGTAAGAAGTAAAAGCGCTCATCATGTGAGGTCAAATAAGCCTTTGTTGGGCCTTTAAACTTTACTCCTCCTGATTTGAGAAATGACAAGTTTCAAGAAGGGTCATAAAATGATCTGCTTTAATAATTCTATAAACAGCTGGGCATAGTGGCTCATGCCTGTAATCCCATCACTTTGGGAGGCTGAGGCAGGTGGATTACTTGAGGTCAGGAGTTTGAGACCAGCCTGGCCAACATGATGAAACCCCGTCTCTACCAAAAAATACAAAAATTAACTGGACGTGGTGGCGTGCACCTGTAGTCCCAGCTACTTGGGAGGCTGAGGCATGAGAATCACTTGAACCCAGGAGGCAGAGGTTGCAGTGAGCCAAGATCACACCACTACACTCCAGCCTGGATGACAGAGTGAGACTATGTCTCAAAATAAAATAAAATAAAATAAAATAATAATAATTCTATAAGAAAACTCTGACTTACATGTTTAGAATAGAGTATAGAACAAGCAAGTACCAGGGTAAGGGATAAGTTAGGTAGACATTGCAATAATCCAGATGAAGAACGATGAGTAGCCAGGACCAGGAGAGAAGCTATGACAAAAATAAGAAATATAAAAATTCAGCATAAAATATTAAAATTGATCTTACCGAATTTTTCTATTTCTCATTGTTTTCATAGCTTCTATCCTGGTCCTAGATTTGGTGTAACATATTAAAAATTGATCTTGCCAGGCATCGTGGCTCATGCCTATAATCCTAGCACTTTGGGAGGCTGAGGCAGGTGGATCACCTGAGGTCAGGAGTTCGAGACCAGCCTAACCTATGTGGAGAAACCCTGTCTGTACTAAAAATACAAAATTAGCTTGGTGTGGTGGTGCGTGCCTGTAATCCCAGGTACTCAGGAGGCTGAGGCAGGAGAATCGCTTGAACCTGGGAGGCAGAGCTTACAGTGAGCCAAGATAGCACCATTGCACTCCAGCCTGGGCAATAAAGACTGAAACTCCATCTCAAAATAATAACAATAATAAGTAAACATAAATAAAAATTGATCTTGATTGGATATGAGGTATGAGGAAGAGAGCCAAGGACAGCCTCAAATTGTGACCTGAGCAAATGCAAACATAGAGTTGTTATTCACCACTTCGGGAAATGCTGTAGGAGAAGGTTGTGGGACAGAGAAATTAGGATTTTTAAATTAACAATGAGATGCCTTTTATACATCAAAATGGAGATGCATATAAAACCATGTGAAATATCCATATGGAATTCGGGAGGGGGTGAATGTAACATCAGCAGTCAACTTGATGAATTCCAAAAGGTAACAGCAAAGAGAATATAGAGTTTCAAGATTGACAGTATCACCACAGAGGTCACATAAGTGGGTCATCAGTCATGTCAAAGCATAGGAGATGGCAAGGCAAAAAAAAAAAAAGAAAACAAGAGAAAGAGGTAGAATATAATAAACAAGGCATGACTACTTGGTTCATGGGGATGTTTAAACAGATGAAGACTGAGATACTGCCACTTCACACGTGGAAAGGAACAAATTTATAAAATAAACTCTCTCAAGACCTCTATCCTGGATCATTGATATTCGGTCTAATGGTCATTTGGCTCAATTTATAATATCAACAGTGGAAAAATAACCCCAAATATTCTACAGTAGGTAATTAGTCAGATAAATTATATTACAATCACAGGAACACAAAACATTTTATAACATGTAGAAAATTTGTGAGTCCTGATGCTGTCACAGAACAAGCGAGCCTCTTTCTGCACAGATAGAAGAACCTCTGGGGAATTACTGGAAATGTTAAGAAAGAGCGATATTAAATGCTGGACTTTCTACAATCAAGTACTGAGTTGCTCAGAGTAGTAGGGATTTGTCTTGCACATTCAATGTTACTACACTTTAAATCATGACATAATAGGGCATATGAGATAATCATTTAAATAGGAAATCATGGATTAGTCATGACGGTTTAAACCTGTATAAGATATGTTATTTGAGCAATGAAGTTAACAGAACCAGTGTGAGAGTAAAATCGTGTCTTTAGCCTATATAAGGTTTTAGAATTGAATAGGCCATTGCTCCAACTCAAGTCCATATACCTCAATCTCAAGATAATTCTTTTGTGTAAAATCAGAAATACAGACAACATAAAATAAATAAAACAAACTTAAAAATGATATAAAATGTGTTTTAGACAGATGCATTGATTGATTTGTGAAGTGTTAAATATTCTCAAATATTTTTCTTTCTTAACCATGGGCATAAAACATAGTGTTCACGAGACTGGAATTTCTAAAAGTTATTCAACATTTATATACATCTTACAGTCTTTTTTATGAGGTAGCTAGCATATTTTGTGTGTTAGGTTTTTCTCATATTGTAACTAGAAACAATGGGGTAACTACCAAAATAGAAAATAATTTATTATGGGAGAGAGTGGAATCAAATGCAAGCAAGTATTGCTTGCCAGCAGGGAAGAGCTCCTTCTGCAAGATAGGAGGCATAATGTTGCCTGAAAACTGCATAGTTTGCCGAGATGACAGTTCATGAAAGAGTATGTAGTCAAGTGGTAGTTAAACAGAAGGAAAACTCAGTTGAGAAATTCCATTATGGAGAAAGTACCTGTCTTAAATTTCTTGGAAATGTCAAAAGGAGAGCAGAGAAATTTCTACAAGGATCCTCCTATTACAAAGGAATTTTCTCTATAAGGTTGCATGCCAGAATCAGGCATGTTTTTGGCTCTTGCAAAAAATCTGACAAAAACAAGAAATGGGGAAACGATTCCCTATGTAATAAATGGTGCTGGGAAAACTGCTAGCCATATGTAGAAAGTTGAAACTGGATCCCTTCCTTACACCTTATACAAAAATTAATTCAAGATGGATTAAAGACTTAAATGTTAGACCTAAAACCATAAAAACCCGAGAAGAAAACCTAGGCAATACCATTCAGGACATAGGCATGGGCAAAGACTTCATGTCTAAAACACCAAAAGCAATGGCAACAAAAGCCAAAATTGACAAATGGGATCTAATTAAACTAAAGAGCTTCTGCACAGCAAAAGAAACTACCATCAGAGTGAACAGGCAACCTACAGAATGGGAGAAAATTTTTGCAACCTACTCATCTGACAAAGGGCTAATATCCAGAATCTACGAAGAACTCAAACAAATCTACAAGAAAAAAACAAACAGCCCCATCAAAAAGTGGGCAAACGATATGAACAGACACTTCTCAAAAGAAGACATTTATGCAGCCAAAAAACACATGAAAAAATGCTCATCATCACTGGCCATCAGAGAAATGCAAATCAAAACCACAATGAGTTACCATCTCATACCAGTTAGAATGGCGATCATTAAAAAGTCAGGAAACAACAGGTGCTGGAGAGGATGTGGAGAAATAGGAACACTTTTACACTGTTGGTGGGACTGTAAACTAGTTCAACCATTGTGGAAGTCAGTGTGGCGATTCCTCAGGGATCTTGAACTAGAAATACCATTTGACCCAGCAATCCCATTACTGGGTATATACCCAAAGGATTATAAATCATGCTGCTATAAAGATACATGCACACATATGTTTATTGCGGCACTATTCACAATAGCAAAGACTTGGAACCAACCCAAATGTCCAACAATGATAGACTGGATTAAGAAAATGTGACACATATACGCCATGGAATACTATGCAGCCATAAAAAAATGATGAGTTCATGTCCTTTGTAGGGACATGGATGAAGCTGGAAACCATCATTCTCAGCAAACTATCACAAGGACAAAAAACCAAACACTGCATGTTCTCACTCATAGGTGGGAATTGAACAATGAGAACACATGGACACAGGAAGGGGAACATCACACACCGGGGCCTGTTGTGGGGTGGGGGGAGTGGGGAGGGATAGCATTAGGAGATATACCTAATGTTAAATGACGAGTTGATGGGTGCAGCACACCAACATGGCACATGTATACATATGTAACTAACCTGCACATTGTGCACATGTACCCTAAAACTTAAAGTATAATAAAAAAAAATTTTAAAAATCTCTAAAATCAGTAGCATGAAAATATTAGCCATAACTAATACTATTATTATCTTATACTCTTATCATCTTATACTATTAGTATTATAACTAATACTATTATTATTATCATGGCTATTATTGTTGTTGATATTCTATAAAAATGGAAGAGATCCTCATATGTAAAAGGAACTTATGGGGAAAGTCATATCATCAGTTTTCATTTAAGTCTAGAATGATTTTCTAAACTTATAGGTCATATAGTAGCTTCACAGATTAGAAATCTGGTTTTGACCATTGTAAGAAGTCTAGAGAGCTTGATAGGAAAAAAAAAAATGCCTCCTTTTTTCCTTCTTCAGGATGAACTTGCTTTATATTCAAGCATTTATTCAATCATTCATGCATTTAAAATATATTTATTACACACCAACTATATATCAAGCAGATATCACATACCAATGAAACGAAAGCATTTCTTAAAGAAAGAGTCTGGGATTTGGGAACATATTAGTATGAAATTCTCCCAAACAGTGGTCCCTGAACAGAAAGCTCAGGGGAGCCAGAAATCTTTTGCAGAAACATGCTTGATTTCATTCCACCAGAGAAGAAATTTGTGTGCTTCCCACCACACAAGCAACAGAAAATTATAAGCATGCGCTCCACTATCACATGATTTTCCTTATAATAAGCAAGAGTAATGTTATGAAATTCAAATGCATACAAATACTTGTACTTCTCACGAGAGACCTAAACAAAATAGTAAAATGAAAAATTTTATTTTTACTGCTCTTTCAATTTCTTTTCTTCGGAACAACTTCTATATCCCAAATCTTATTTTCCCCTCTTCTTAAAGTGCCCTTTAATTTTGTTCTACATTCAATCTCTCCAAGTGCATGCATTGAGATTCTTCCTTTCCACCCTCTCTTCCAGAATCTCTCGTACTGTTATTTATTGCTCCCTTAAATTACACACACACACACATACACATACACACACACACACACACACATTCTCTTTCTCCAAATGACCGCTTTTCAAGTATTAGATCATTTAAATTATTTTAAATATAGTATTTCACTGGTAAGAATGACCACAGAGTCAGCTGAAAATTTTAAAATGAATAAAATTATCACATATTCATATAATCAACCCCAAAGCTGTGAAAACATACATGGAGTTTAGGAAATCAGAGCTGAAAAACAAGGCCTCTGATGCAGACTGACCTATGAATTGATTTATTGACCATCTGCTTTATCATTAAGGATTGATGGCAGAAGCAAGAATGCTAGAGTGAAGTGGAAGAGCTCGTGCTAAAGTCTCTGACTGATCAGAACTAATTATAGAGAGCTAATTTTCCGAAATAATTGCACAATTCTCACATTTCTGTTACTTCTTCTGACTTCCTGCCCAGAATTTCTACCTGACTCATTTTACTTTTCTCTGTTTTTAAACTTTTAGTTCAAGCCTACACCTTTCATGAAGCCTTTTAGAACTGCACAGGCCATGGAACTGCCGTGGCACATGTGGCTATGGCAACTTTATTTGAATATCTTCTACTTCCATGAAAAAAGCCCTTTGAAGCAATGGGGCATAACTGTAATTCTGGGTATTTTTACAGGAAAAGACACTGAGAAGCATTTTTGTGCTTTAATGATAAATATATGATTTGAAGAAACAGAGAAAGTTCTCTAGGAAAGAAAGAAATTTGAATTAGAATGTGCAAGAGAGCAGAGGAGGAAGAGGAGAGGACTTTGTGGAGGGCAGAATGAGAGAAAGTCAAGCATCTTAGAAGTAGAGCAGGGCCTGTCTCCAAGAAAATGCTGCTGAGGATCAAAATCAAGAATGTTCAATGTAAGTTATTTGTTACATTTTGCTGTTTTTCCTCCTTCTTCTCAAATCCAGTAGAGTTTGCTGCATACACACAAATGCTCTGTGGGTCTCCTTTGAGGAAATCAAGAGAAAGGGGGTGTGTTTTACTTTTGGGGCTACAAACTTTGGGAATCAGAGTTATTGTGAACATAATTGCCCCCCTTCCATTTTTCCCTGAAGATATTGTGGTAATAACAGCTGTTTATTCTCCAATTACCTTTTTTCTACCAGTGACTCTTTCTGATGCATAGAAATTTTGACTGGCACAGTGAACCCAGCCCTAGAGAAGAGTGCCCTAGAGTTTAGATTTAGCATAAGGAGTAATATCCTATGGGGAAGCATCCACACTATTCCATTCTGTTAAGGTATATGGATACCATTCTATGTATCTATATCCATTCCATGTATTTATGTAGTATCTATATACTACATAGGTACATGGAATGGTATCTATATACCTCAACAGAAGTGTCTATATAATATCTATATACTACATAGATACATGGAATTGTATTTATATACCTCAACAGAATGCACCCCAGACTGGAAAATAGAGAATGTGTAAATATATGATTAAGAAGTGAAAATGCAGAGATGAATGAAACAGTCCCCTGTCATCCATTTACCTCAGAACTTATTCCATATTCAGGATCCCTTGTGCTAGGAAAAAAGCATTGTTTTCTAAAAATTTTCCCAGCCTTGGGAAAGAAGTTCTTGTTGAGGCACAACTGGAAGAAACACAAATGCTCATCTTTTTGTTATGGTGGCAGGAAAGAAAGATTTTCTGGACAAAATGTACCCTTGTGCCACCGAGGACTCAGTGACATGTGGAATTTTCCCATTGACCACTGGAAATATACTAACGGTGGATCAGGAGTGCTTGTGGAGCTGAAGCCTAGACAGAAAGAAACAGAATTTCCCATCATTTAATTATAGTGACAGAGAACCTGAAATTTCCAGCTAAAACACATCTACGTATTTCATGGGTGCATTTTTTCAGATTTCAATGTGCCTGAATTTCAATAACTTATGATTGTTGCCATTCAAAAGCAGATGTGATGTAGTCGTCATTGCCTTCCCCTGTGAATCAAATATTTAATATTATAGAACAGATGTCAGCTGCTTAGATAATAATCCTAGAGAAAACAGTGCAGAATTGTTTTAAGGAATGCTGGATCACCAATGCTCATGAAGCCACAGAGGATGAGTATATGTGGAAAAAAAAAAAAAGACACTGATGATTCCTGTTCAAAAATTTGAATTCTGAATGTAAAGTTTTAGTTTTAGAATTATTTAACTAATTTTTTCACTTACATTTCATTTTTTTAGGGTTGAACAAGAGTGACATATAAGAAAAGTGTTATTTCAATAAGAATAAAATAAAAGCTGCAAGTGATATAAAATATTTGGTCATAGTTAAATTGATAGAGCTTTTTTCTTCCACTTTCTGTGCTAGATATAATAACGGTGCACATATTATAGGTGGCATCTTAGATCCAATAAAATTCACTGTTTTGAAAATTTGGTCCTGGTCAAGCAGAAGCTAAAGTTTGTCTAGAAGTGCTGAGGAACAGAATTGAAAAGTTTAAGAACTACTTCAAAGAAAGCACAAACGTTTGCCTGAGGGCCTAGGTTAAAGGGTACAAGTCAGATTAATAATCTAATTTCCTAATACTTGCATGTAAAACCAGGCCCACATACACAACCTAAGAATTCAACTTTATTTCCATTTTTCCCTGAAGATACTGTGGCAATAACTACTGTTTATCCTCCAATTACCCTCTGTCCACCAGTGACCCTCGCGGATGCATAGAAATTTTGCCTGGCACAGTGAACCCAGTCCTAGAGAAGAGTGTCCCAGGGTTAAGATTTAGCGTGAGGAATAACATCTTAAGGGAAAGAATGCATATCATTCCATGTATCTATATACCTCAACAGAATGCACCCCCAACTGAGAGGTAGAGGATGTGTAAATATATGAGTAAGAGGTGAAAATGCAGAGATGAATGTCCTGGAACAGAGCAGTTCCCATTATCCATTTACCTCAGAACTTATTCCATATTCAGGATCCCTTGCGCTAGGAACTCCACCTGAAGAAGACTTCACAGACTTAGAAAGCAAACGCCTAGGAAAAAGATAACAGAACGAAACAGAACATAGGGGAGTAGAAAACATTTCCCTTTTATTTGCTTACATTGTCTCTGTGCCACATAGAAAATATACCATCTTCATTGTTCATGATTATTTGACATACATGATATTTCCTTGAAGCATCAACCACTTCAAGGAAACTAGTTGGGGAGAACATCGGAAAGTTTTAACTACATAATGAATGTATTTTTTCATCATTACATCATATTTGGGAAGCAAATTTAGAGACGACATTTGCGGGGTTCACAAAATTTTACTAGAGAAAAAGAGTAGCTTGTTGAAAAATTATTAAATTAGCTAGCACATAGTTCCATTTGGGAAGGATTTCTTTTCCCAGAATATATTGAGAAAAATCCTTTAAAGTAGAGATGAGGCTCAAAAAGATGTTGGAAGCAGACAGAAAGGAAACAGGTAGTGTTAAATGTATATATATTTGGTGGTGGAGAAAAGCACACGAGAAAGCAAGGATGGGACCCTGTGGATAAAACCAGCAAACATGCTGGTGTCCAAGAACTTGTGGAGAACAGTGGCCAATGAGCTTTCAAAACTACATTTTTAAGATTTAATAAATTGTAGTTTTTGGTATTCTTGTGGAAACAACCATATTGGTTTTTTTCCAGACCCATAATAAAATCAATTATACAGATTGATCATCTCTAATTTGAAAGTTTGAAATCTGAAGTGCTCCCAAATCCAAAACATTTTGAGTGCCATTTTGCTCCACAAATGGCAATTTCCATTAGGTACTGGGATGTCTCCTGGCAAAAGAAGGAAAACAGGAGCACAAGATGCTGTTTGTCCCATGTAATGTCACTCAAAACAAGATAGAAATGACAGGCTACTGTGCTGCTTAGTTATGCTGGATACATTATTTTTTCACTATATTAATGACAAGTTATATTTTCTACTGTTATGTACTTATGTGTGAATCAGCATAATGATTGCTTATCAGGAGCACATAAATTCAGAGTTGGGAATGATGATGATGCCAAACAGTCACAGACTGTCCACATGAGTGGCTGAGACAGTGACAGCTTGACTTTCTGATGGTTTGCTATACACAAGCTTTGTTTAATAACTAAGTTATTTCAATTTCTGTATAAAATTACCTTCAGGCTATGTGTATGAGGTACATATAAAATGAATGAATTTTGTGATTAGACTTTTGTGATTAGAATGAATTTTGTGTACTGTCTCCAATATCTCATTATGTATATGCAAATATTCCAAAATCCAAACAAATCAAAAATCTGAAATATTTCTGTTCCAAGCATTTCAGATAAAAGATACTCAATATGTATAAATTGGTTTTGTTTTAGCTTTTATTTGCTTATTTTGTTGTTGGTATGTAAATCAAATAGAATATACCAGGTCTCACATCTTGGACAATGTGGTCTAAAATAGTAGCAAACTATTTGGAATAGCAAGACAACTCATGAAGCCAATGATTCAGCCGAAGCCACAGGTGACAAAGAGGATGGAAAGTCAACCACTTGCTTCAAGTTCAAACCTTGGAGATACAGGAAAGTATGCAGAGCTCAAATGTAGGTGGAAGAGAGCACTTCAGTTTCTCTGTGTCTTATCCTGAAATAGTAGCTATCTTAACAAATATGACTTTTAAGAAATAGTAGATTCTATATCAAGTATAAAATTTACTAAATTTCATCTTTTTTAAAGGCAGTTACATTTTCAAGAAGGAGATTCTAAATTTTCAGCATCCAACCTAACACAATGACATACAACTATGAATCTAAATGAAAAAATAAATGTAAGTAAAACCCCAGTTATTTAGTAGTCATCGTCAACATTGTGGGATTATGTTTAAATTTTAAAACAAATTTTTTTCATATTTTAAACTTTATTCCACTTATGGGATTTAATATAATTTGATAATCTATTTTATAAAAATTTCTCACAACACTTACTATTTATTTAAAACCTTTCACCTGATAAATTTCCTTATTGTCTAATAGAAGAATCATGGACTTCAAGTCTTTTTATTTTAGGACATATTTTTTAAACTTTAAAAATAGATATCAAAGTTGTACCTATAGAAAGCCTAGCAAATTCCTGAGCATCTCAACATTTCAATAGCAAAAACTATTTTATTTCACACAATCTGTTCAATTGTCTCAAGTAATAGACAAAACAAAATATTTTTTAATTATAATAAAATTATTCTAATGCCTCATCTCGAAAAGGAATCACTGAAAATTTAGAAGCAATTCAGTTACACCTACTGTTTTTCTAACGCAGGATTTGATTCAAAGTTGGTAACAATAAAAAGTTTAAATTTTTTAAGCAATTTTCAAATATGGTTTACTCTTACTTTGAGGTTCACACAAATCACTTTCCCCTTAGTGATACAGTGAAATTACCTCTTTTTGTTTGCTCTCTCCCATTTTATTGTACAGTGCCAGCCCATCTCCTACAAGTGAAATAGAGATCTTAAGACTGACAGTCCATTTATTTCATTCCAGTTTGCGGCAGGATTCAAAATTTTTCAGTTTAAAAGATATTCCTTTAAGGCTGAGATTTAAGGATAATTTATTAATACATGTAATGGTAAGAAAGTACAGCCCCCTGTACGGTTCCTAGAACTGGGCACAGAATATCTTCCTCAGTCGTTTTGGTTTAGGTGCATAATTGCAGTCGTGCCATTTAATTTTCCTTCTTTCCTTCTTTCCTTCTATCCTTCATTTCCTTCCTTCCCTCCCTTCTCTCCTTTCCCTCCCTCCCTCCCTCACTCCCTCCCTTCTTTCCTTCCTTCCTTCCTTCCTTCTTTTTCTTTTTCTTTCTTTCTTTCTTTCTTTCTTTCTTTCTTTCTTTCTTTCTTTCTTTCTTTCTTTCTTTCTTTCTCATTTTCAGCAGAGGTAGGGTAAAATAATCTTTAAGGCACTTGCCACATCTAAACAACTAAAAATCCACAGTTAATGGAAGAATAGTTATTCTGAGGTAATAAAATACTCCATTCACTGAAATGTACCTTTGGAGGTACACATAGAATTACAAAGAAAGAGTTGACTAATTGGCATTAGAGAACTTAGCTTCAAGTTCTCCACTATCCTAAAAGTTTAGAATTTACAAGTCCAACATTTAAAAGTTTGTATGATCTTTGACAAGTAACTTAATTTCTCTAGACTTATGTTTTCTCATCCATAAAACGAGAATACGCAGTTATAGTGAACCTTGAAAGAAAAGGGTGCCAGCTATTATCATCACTGCTTCAGACATAACCCAAGGACATTCAAAAGATGCAGATTTGGTCATATGTGCTTAGAAGATTCTCTAGCCTGAAAGCAAGTACAAGAGCAGCTTTCTGGTCTGCAGGGTTATAAAGCTCTGCGAATCTGCTAAAAGAAATAAAAGGTCTGACACTTCTGAGGCCCATAATCTCTTCAAGGATATTGGTTCAATCCTCAATCCTCTACAGTTCTATAATCTCTTTTCTTTGTGGAATGTGCTAGTCCATTTCCTAGCATAGCTGGAAAGAAGTGGAATGTCTGGATGACTTCTTTTACCTTTCCACGCCTTCTCCTGAATTCCCTAATCAAAAATTTTTGCTTCAGGTATATTGTCTCCTGCGGTCAGTGACGATGATGTATTTTTGTTCTACCCTTTGCTATCCTGAGTGAAAATACTGAGATTAACCTATAGGACATGGGTTTCTTTTCTATTTTGATTTATTTACATAAATGACAGTGCTGGGATGTTTCACTCCTCTGAGAAAAAGCCAGGCAGAAAAATAATAGAAGTAATTTTCAAATCAGACCGCCTCATATCTGAAATGATATGAGACTATGTCATGGACAAAAAGAAGGAAAACACTTTATTCAATTTACAGAAACATTTGAGAGCAAGCTCTATAGATGTGCACACAGAAACATGTAATCATGCAGAGAAGAAAGATAATGCCATCGACTCCAATAAAATAATTGAAAATATAGGAAAAGAACTCCAGCTAAGACATTTAGTAGTTATGAGATAATAGAAGTAAAAATAAATGTAGATGTATCTGATGAAGCCTGGGTTTGGCTTTCACTAACATAATAAAGAATATTTTTTCTATCCCATAATATTTTTCACATTTTCAAAATGGCTTAATGATATTTCTTACATTTTGGTAATATCTTGGAATAGCCCAAATTTCACCTTGATCATCACACATAGGTATAGTCAAATGTCTGAGACCCAGGAAAATTTACATACATCAGCTCACCAAGGCAAAGGAAATGTCTAAGCATAGAAAAATTAGTGTGCACTGTAATACAGACCCTAAATTCTTCATTTCCAATTTCAGTATCCAAAAATCTCTAATAACCAAAATGTTTTTCCATCTAATGACAAAAACCAGACATAATGATAAAACCAGACATACCCTGATGTGTTTATTGATTTTTTTAACTTGCTTAAATATTTATAAAATATTTGTTATTTAAATATTCATATAACTCATATCTTTTGAAAGTATTAGCATCTATGATTAAGAGGTGCTGTCCCTGACCCCATTGGTGTATTAATATAATACAATTTTGGTACTATTGTAATGGCAAGAAGTTTACATAAAAGCAACCAATTTATATTCCTTTGTTTTGAATTCAATATAATATCTCACAAGAAATTTTAAAAGGAATAATTAGGCACACATTTGACAACTAAGAGGGCTCTCATTGGAAGGAACATTTTATGTCATAGATTACATCCAGAAGGCAAAAATGCAGTAATTTAAATAATTCAAGTTTAACGACCTTTCTTTTAGGAAGAAAAAGATTTTATTGTTTCCCAGAAATATCTAGCTTCAGTGATTACATTATCTTTATTAGCAAGAAAATTGTCATTTTAACACTCATTTTTGCCTGCTTTGTATGTTTGGTTAATCAATTAAGGCAGATAATCTAAATTATCACATCCATTTCAGACTGACACCTAAGTAACACATTTATCATTTACAAATTTGAATTCAGTGACACAATTACAGAGAACATAAATAAACCAAATGGAAAATAAAAATTGACTTAATTTTCTCAAAAATACCAGGTCAGAAAAAGTGATACAGATGCAGCTGTGCTTTTTCATTCTCTTTATTGTCTCCTGTTCATTAAAACATCTGCTTCATTTTCCCAGCTACTAAAGAGGCTTCAAGCCCTAATGGATTCCACACAGAGTTTTATGGTTTCTATTACTTGAGTTCTTCTCTTCCCTTTATTCATCTGAGGAACATCTTTCTCATAAATCATGTTTAACTAGACAATTGGTAGAGCGATTGTTGACATTCTTGTTTGCAAATCTCTCAAACTTTTACTTGTGATGATTATTTCATTTTTAAACGTAAAACTGCTTGTATAAGAAAACATCCATTTATTAGAATAACAAAATATTTAAAGGAGCAAACTCTTAAACATTAAATAATTATATACATATAAAGTTTAATGAATTGGCATGCATACGAATGCCTATGTACAGTCACATGCCACCAAATGGTGTTTTGTTCAAAGATGGACCATGTATACAATGGAGATCCCATAAGGTCATAATACTGTATTTTTACTGTACCTTTTCTGATATGTTTAGATATACAATGCTTACCATTACAATTGCCTGCAATATTCAGTACAATAACATATGTAGAGGTTTGTAGCCTAGGAGCAATAGGCTATATACCCCACAGCCTAGGTGCGTAGCAGGCTATACCATCTATGCTTGTCTAAGTGCACTCTATAATGTCCACACAAGGACCAAAATCACCCAGCAACACATTTCTCAGAATGTATGCTTGTTATTAAACTGTAAAAGGAGTCATTTGTTTCATATCTAACTGCATATGAAAATATACACATCAACATGAAAACATAAACTATGTATCTAATTATGAATGCTCAATACCATTTTTAAGACCATGAATAGGTAACTGTGGAATTGTTCAGTTGTCATAGTATTTTACATAAGACTACGATAAATTGAAGACCTAGGAGGTTGACATTATTTTGAAAAGTCCACAGTAACCACAAAGCTTTTTAAAAGGTCAAACCAATAAAATGAAAAAGGATGAAAATAAACAGTCATTTGAAGATTATTAGCATATATTAACATGTAAGAGAAATAGAGACAGAAGAGAAAGACAAATGGAGTTTCTACATTGAAGAAATGTGTTCTGTAACAAGAGAATAACAATTAGAACAAAAACTTTCCAGAAATATATAGAGACATAATTTTATTATAAGGTGGTTTCCTTGAATGGCAAGTTTTTAAAATGGAAATTTAGTCATATCCGTGGAGTATAAAAAATTTTTTGGACAAATAAAATATCCTACAAATGTCTGCATATGTCTCCTACATAAGCAAGAAGAAAATCAGGTTCACTTCATCATCTTCTCTCTCAGTGTGAGAGGGAAGTAGATGTATCTAAAGAGTAGGGTAGGGATGTCCAATCTTTTTGCTTCCCTAGGCCACATTGGAAGAAGAATTGTCTTTGGCCACACATAAAATACACTAACACTAGCTGATGAGTTAAATAAAATAAAAGCTCAAAAAAACTAGTAATATTTTAAGAAAGTTTGTGAATTTGGATAATGGCTTCCTCAGCAAATTAACACAGGAACAGAAAACCAAATACTACATGTTGTCATGTATAAGTAGGAGCTGAATGATGAGAATACATGGACACATTGTGGGGAACAACACACACTGGAGCCGGTCTGAGGGTGGGGGATGAGATGAGGGAGAGTTTCAGGAAGAATAGCTCATGCATGCTGGGCTTAATACCTTGGCGATGGGATGATCTGTCCAGCAAACCACTATGGCACATGTTTACCTATGTAACAAACATGCACATCCTACACATGTGTCTCTGAACTTAAAACTTGGTAATCGAAAAAAAAAAAAGAAGCTGAAAAACATTAATTTAGTTGCGTAACAGCCAGTTTGTAAACAGGACAATAAATAACTGCTGACACTTAAAAAAAAAAAAAATTACGAATTTGTCTTGGGCCACATTCAAAGCCGTCCTGGTCTGCATGGGGCCCGCAGGCTGTAGGCTGGAAAAGCTTGGAATAAGGCAAAGATTATTTCACATAAAATATTCTCCATTTTGAAGAAGCCAGGAAGTTTGGATGGGATCGACCTATTTCTCAGTTCCAAGTATTATCGATAGCACCTCCCTTGCTACTGCGATTATGCTGCCTCACAGCGCTGAGTAACCAACCCAATAGGTGTTATCCTATCGGGTGAAGCGATTGTTTCTGAAGCGAGCTTGGGAACTACATCGGTGAATCAGAGAGCAGTTCACGAGTTCTGTACAGTGGCTGGAAATAGTAAAAAGTGGAAAACAAGTCAGCTCTGGACAGTGTTATGTATAGATGTAAAATCTGAGACTAATACAGACATTCTGCTATTTGTAAGGAAACCAGCCAGAGAAGGCCACCAAAAAAATAAAACTAAGAGTGTAACCACAGCAAACCATATATCAAAAAAAAATCATAATATATATCAAAAAATTATACACAAAAAATCAAAACTATAAAAAACTGTGTTGAATATAAGGCAAAGTAAGCTTTTTATTCATTTTTTAAATCATTGGATCTGAGGTGTAGAACTAGACTATTAGAGTCAATGTATGGAGTCACTTAATTTTTTTCCTCTCAATGGACTAACTTAATAACAAACATATATTACTTTAAAATACTTTTAAATACAAAATATAATTTATGCAACATTTTTCTTATGTTAACAATTTTCCTTGAATCTGCACTCATATACAACATCAACATCATCAGGAGCTTTAACAAGTATCTTTCAAGAGGTCAGGCTCTGTAGCCAGGTCACTGCCGTTTCAAGAGCATGTACTAGCTGTTTAACACTGCAAATCCTTAATACCTCTACGCCTTAGTTTATTCACCTGAAAAGAGACGAAAGCTGTACTCATCCTAGTATGGTTTTGTGATGATTAAACAATGCAGTATAACTATTACCCTTAAAACAGCCTTGATCCATAGAAATCACTCAATAAAAGTTGTTAATATAATCATTATTATAATTACTATTATTGTCTATTATAAGTAGTAGTATCTTGCTAGTGCCATTCCAAGAGTACATTATGATGATCGCTGTTTGTTACACACACTCACCATAAGCACTGAAGGATCTTTGTCAGTAGAGTTACTAGATAATTAAACATGTACTAAAATATGTATTACTTTAGGAGGCCAAAGCTGGCTGATCACCTGAGGTCAGGGGTTCGAGACCAGCCTGGCCAACATGGCAAAACCCTGTCTCTACCAAAAAGACAAATATTAGCTGGGCGTGGTGGCACATGCCTGTAATCCCAGCTACTCGGAAGGCTGAGGCAGGAGAATTGCTTGAACCCAGGAGACAGAGGTTGCAGTGAGTTGAGATCATGCCACTGCACTCCAGCCTGGGCAACGGAAAAGAAAAAAAAAACTATATATATATATATATATTTATATTAAATAAATACATGTATTTATTTCTTTATATATGTTATTCTTTCTAATAATCAAACAATGTATATTTTTCTCAAAGACAGCTTTGTAGAACTTTGATCTGACTTGTCTATGAAGTATTGGCATTGTCTTTTCTTGCAGACAGAATACATGGTATTCACATCTGTCCACTTAATAATATGGAATTGCATTACAAACTGTAGTAGAATGAGAAACTGGGATTTCATAACATCAGATACTGGGTGGCTGAAGTTGTTCAATCTCTTACCTCATATTTTTGTAGAGGATAACTACTTTAGTAACATCTTTTTCTGTCTAAATATTACTAAATTTATGACCCAACTTCCTAAGTGTTTTAAAAATAAAACTATTTTAGTTCAGATAGCAAAGAACTGTGAGATGTTCTCTGCTTTCAAGAATGGCTCCCTGAGTTTGAAATGTAGCAGCTGTAAAGCCTCAGAAACTCAGTTAAAATGTGTTTCAAACTGACTTGCAGTATTAAATGCGCAATAAATATTTTAGAAAATGTGCATAGGCATACTAAGTTAAAAATATCTTCCGAGTGGGCATATATGCTAAGTAAAAATCTTAATATATTTTCCACAAGTATGTTTATATGTTGATAACATACATGCATGCACACACACACAATAGCTGTTTATTTATATGTAGGTAAGAGAGAGAAAAGTTTAAGGGAGAAAATATATAAGGAAAATAATTCAGGTTTAAATAAATTAAACATTTTTGTAAAGTCACAATTTATGCTACACAAAGCTTTGAAATAAATTTATTATAATGTCAAGCTAATTTACTATGTTTTACAATGCTATTTTTGCAATAATGCTATAGTTGGTTTACTAAAAATTAAATTCTCTGAACTTTTTGAGTATGAGTAGTTGGAATTTTCCATTTCTTAGCATTTACTAGATGAAAGATAGTTTTAATATTTGTAAAATACAGGTATATAAATACACATAAAAATAGTTAATAGTTAGAATGCAAGTTGAGTCAGTATCCTAAGGTCTAAATCCCAATTCTAATATACAACTTATTAACTGTATCACTTTAAGCATGTTTCTTAATGTTTGTAGACTAATTTTTCAAATATATACAAAGGAGCTAATAGTAATACTTTCTATCATATTACTGGTTATTCTGAGAATTGATTTAAATACATATGTGACATACTTAAGAGTACCTTACTTATACTAATTACTCAATAATAATCTATTACTATTAATACATATTAACATGACTGTGTGCTTTTATATGACCATAAAAAGAGTCTCAAAGGATTTGCCTATGGTTTTTAATATAGGTTGTCTTTTATAAGATAGCTGGGTGCTGAAAAAGGGGGTGGGACAAGGAAGTCGGAGCAATATAAAAGAGAAAATAGACCAAAAGTCCTGCCCACATGACATATGATACCCAGGTACATTGGAATTTCAAATAAACAAGATATAATATTTTAGTATAATCTGCCCCACGTAATATTTGGGAGATACACATAATAAAAATGTGTTTTTGTTTGTCTGAAATTTATATTTAACTAGGCATCCTGTATTTATTTTTAATTGATTTTTGCTAAGTCAGGCAATCTTGTACCAGCCCTAAAGAAAAATCATCCAGCACATGTGATATAACCCAATTTATGTAAACTAATTAATCTTTATTTGAGCATTTTGCATACAAATATAAATTAGATTATTTAAGCATATTTTTATATTAATCCATAGGAATTTCCATATTATAAAGAAAAATATAAAATACATATACTATAGCATATATAGTATGATTCTCTCACATTACAATCAGGCAAACACAAATCCATTATGTATATATAAAAATATATACACATATACATATACATATATATATATATATATACACACACACATATACATTTTTTTAAAAGAAAGTAGGTTATAGAAAAGGAACTATTCTGTTAGGTGCAAAATCCATTTATAAAATAAATCTCAGAATTGAAATTGCATTAGCTTACACAAGGTGTAATTGGGAAGAATTGTGTTAATTTTGATATTCCCTAAATTCCATCATTCAAATCTGGTAATATGGTGTTTAATAGATGCTGGATCTGAAACATACAATCAAATTTTTATATCTCGATATGAGAATTTGATTAGTAAGCATAGTGGATTTAGTATGGTACCTACGTTGATCTAACCCCCCTTCTTCCCATTTAAAGAAGTATAGGCTAACACAGTGTCACGATTTGGGCTTCTTATTAAACTCAGGAATTAGTAAAGGAAAATTAAATCACTTAATTAGCTGCAGGCGAATACCTGAGAATTTTATGTATGCATCATATATTCAAAATATTATCTGAAATCCTCTGAGACCAACTTCAGGCAAAGCTGATTCAGTGATGACTCAACTACAGCAATTTTATGAGAAATTCAGACATTATCCTGAGATTAGCCATTAATTAAATTTTTATTTTTGAAAATGATAAGGACCTTCAATTTCTTCCATGTAGCCATCAACTCTTTACTAAATTCTAACTGTGTCTATGATTCATAATTTCTGTTATTTTCTGTTATTTTTCTTCACTTTAATACATAAGTTTAACACAATGGAAGTAAAAATCTACTTTATATAATATTTGACTGCAGTCACTAATGATTTCCAGTAGTAGGACTGCTATAAGTTTATAACATTAAGGTAATTATTCTAATTGCATGAGCAACTTTAACTCTTAGTTGGTGTTTCTTCTTGGTGCAACTATATGGAAAAGTGATAGCAGATAATCAAAACAATTAAAATGGTTGATGTAATTGTTGAAGGATAGAAATGAGTCTTCAGAATTTTAAGGAAGGCTTAATTTATGTTCCAAGAAACTTTTTAAAAAGTCTTTTATATGAATATTCACAGAGAAAGGAAAGAAATAAAGAAAGGGTTGTTTTTCTCTGTCTCATTATTAAAGATATAAAGTATCCTAGTTTTCACACACAAAGATGAAACTGGCGACCCATAATAAGTAAAGCACAAGGTTTGAATCATTTCTCCAAAGCAGTCATCATAGAGATGCAATCTCACATTTTAATTTAGTCGCTATTGCAGTTAATGATACACAGCAGTGGTGGCTAATTGAGGTGGGAAGTCAATCTGTGGTCACTTAAATGGAACAGAGCTAACTATAAGATCTATAACTATGACCTCATTAATACCCTGAACTAATCAATTAAATTAACTAAATTCAAAAAAGATGTAATTATCAGTATCAGCAACGTGTTAACCAAAGCAGTTCATATTTGCTGAATGTTTCCAATGTTTTCTGAGATAGTAAGAAGCATCTATCTACCAAAAAAAGTCAGTTTAAACATTTACAAATCAATTGTACAATTACTTTGCCTATAAGATAAGCTCTAACTTCTTAATCTTAACGTTTCTTATTTTAACATTATTGGGACATGTGTAATGTGAAACTGGGATCTATTTATGCTATAAAAAATATGTTGTCAATAAATCCATGTACTTTACCACAGATTTCCTGTCTTTTCTAACTTTAATTTCTTGACCTATCCAGTGCCCTTTTGTTTCAATAAACAAAAACCCATTCAAGTTTCAGAATAAATGAACAAAAAGGGTGAGACTAGAGAGAAAGTTTGTTTTAAGGTCAGCAAGATCTCATAGAATCAAAGAACTAAAATAGTGAAGCTTCATGTTCTGGCAGCACAAAGTCAGAAACATGGGCTCATCTCCTTATCCCCCTGACTCTGCAGTTTATCTGTACTTCTCTTTTCCAGAAGTTCTGCTTCCTTCTGTGACAGTTTCTATATTTCCTCAGCTCATTTCAAAATTTCCCATCATGATGATCTTTAAGAAAATCAGAGTGTGAGATAACTCCACTCTGTTCAAATAAAAAGAGTTTTAGCTGGGCTCATGGTGGTGCCTTGGGTGTTTGCCTGCCTTAGACCTTTCAGTATGACTAGATTGATCAATCATGTGGTCTTTGGGGCTGTGAACAGAAGTAGATCCGGACCACCACCACCACTGCCCCCTTACAGAGCAGTGGACTGAATTGCACAAAATTATGGGGAAAGTGGTAGTAGCCAAACTTAAGAAAGTCTGGCACTACAACTTTTTGGCCATTTGAGAAATTTGATCTTCATCCTAAAATCAAAGAAGGAATTTATTCTTAATGCAAATATTATATTTGTGCTTTGAAAATGCTTTGAAACTGCAAGGCTGAGAATGAATTTGAAAGGGATTTATAGTAAATTG
Source organism: Homo sapiens (assembly GCF_000001405.40). Classification (NCBI taxonomy): domain Eukaryota; kingdom Metazoa; phylum Chordata; class Mammalia; order Primates; family Hominidae; genus Homo; species Homo sapiens. The sequence goes on along the minus strand of NC_000005.10, from coordinate 84,790,846 downwards.
AGACCGATAAAGAAGTTATTGCAGCACTTCAGACAAGGGTTAACAATGGTATGGGCTAGGGTGGCAACAGAAGAAATGGAGGATAATGGGAAAATCTGAAAGCAATTTGGAGCCCAAGTCCAAGGACAAATGACAAATTAGAGTAGGCAAGGGAGGGCAGTGAGGGAGAGGGATGTGTCTTAGGTTTCTGGTTTTAGTTGAATGAATGGTATTATTATCAAAAACAGAGATGCATGAAGTTATGCACTGAATCTTAAACTCTAAAAGCCCTATAGGGTATTGCCTAACACAGTTCTATATCCTCAGAAATCACATTATGACTCAAAATTCACTAAGAATTTTTTGGGGTTTTGTTTTTTGTTTTTTGTTTTTAGATTAGGTTTCACTGTCCTCCACGCTGGAGTGCAGTGGCAAGATCATGGTTCACCTCAGCCTTGACCACCCAGGCTCAGGTGATTCTCCCACCTTACTCTACTGAGTAGCTGGGACTACAAGTATGTGCCCTGGTTAATTTTTGTATTTTTAGTAGAGATAGTGTTTCGCCAGGTTCCCCAGGCTTGTCTCAAACTCCTGGGCTCAAGACATCCACCCACCTCAGCTTCCCAAAGTGCAAGGATTACAGGCATGAGTCATCGTTCCTGGCCAGAATTTTTAAGATTAATAAATTTTTAAGTCACCATTTATGCATAAGGAATTAGGAGTTCTGAATTTTTAATGTAATTGTTAGTTGACATTTAATAATTGTACATATTTTTTGAGATACAGAGTGATATTTTAGTACATGTATACAATGGGTAATGATTAAATCAGAGTAATTAGCATACTCATCACTTTAAACATTTATCATTTGTGTTGTGAACATTCGAAAATCTTTTCTAGCTTTTTGAATATGCACACTAAACTATTGTTAACCATATTTACCATACAGCACTCCAGAACAATAAAACTTATTCCTATCATGTAGCTGTAACTTTGTATCCATTAACTAATCTTTTCCTGTTCTTCTCTCCTAGCAATAATTCCCAGCCTCTAATCATCACAATTCTACTCTGTACTTCTATTAGCTCAAATTTTATTTTCCTCCCGTATGTGAGTGAGAACCTGCGGTGTTTCTGTGCCTGATTTATTTCACTTAACATAATGTCCTCCAGCCTCATCTGCGTTGACAGTATTTTATTCCTTTTTACGGCTGAATAGTATTCCATTGTGTATACATTCCATGTTTTTTAATCCATTTGTCTGTTGATGGACACTTAGATTGATTACATATCTTAGCTATTGTGAATAGAGTTGCAATGAACTTCTGGGGGTGCAGGTATCTCTTCAATATATTGATTTCCTTTCATTTGGATAAATACCCAGTAGTGAGATTGCTGGATCATATGGTAGTTCTATTTTTAGTTTTTGTTAAAATCTCTATACTGTTTTCCATAATGTTAATAGTAATTTAGATTACCCTCAACAGTGTAGAAGAGTTCCCTTTTTTCATTACCCTCATCAGCATTTGTTGTTTTTTATCTTTTTGATGATAGCCTTTCTAACTAGGGTAAGATGATACTTCATTGTGATTTTGATTTGAACCTTTGAAAATCTTAAGATTGCTGAGAAGGAGTATGGTAGACTAAATAATGGCCCCCAAGAGATACTCACACCCTAAACTCTGAAACCTGTAATTGTTACCTTAAATGACAAACAAGGGCTTTGCAGATATAATTAAGTATCTCCAGATGGGGAGATTATCCTGAATTTTTCCAATAAGCCCTAAATGTAATTACACGTATCTTTATAAAAGGGAGGCAGAGGAAGATTTGGCAGATAGAATAGAAGGCAATGTGACAACAAAGGCTGAAAGAAAGATGTGGCCACAAGCCAATGAATGCCAGCAGCCGCCAGAACCTAGAAGAGGCAAGTGATGGATATGGATTCTCCCCAGGGGGAATATGGTCCTGCTGGCTCTATTTCTTCCAGGCAATACTGATTTTGGATTTTTGGTTTCCAGAACAGACAGAATAAATTTCCCTTGCTTTAAGCTACTAAGTTTGTGATAATTTGTTACAGCAGCCATAGGAAACTAATGAAAGCAGCTTTTTGAAAATTGCTTTTATACTTAATATCCATACCCATGACATAAGTATCTTCTGATACAGCATTAAAAATGTTTAATTCAAATCAGAATATTTTGTTTCACTGAAGTATAGCTGTAGTTCTGCTACACAATACAGCCAAAATACAGGTGATTTAGGCACCTCAGACATAATTAAGTATCTGAAAACTGCAGATATATATTTTGTAGGATTTAAAGTCCTTACTGCAATATTAGCACCAAGTTGAAATTCAAATAGTATGTTTCTAGGTAAATAAAGTGAATAAATATCTTTGATTTTTTTTCTAATGCATACAAGTTTATTAAAATAACTTACATAATTTAATCTAAACTCAATATTGGCAACCATTTGATTAATTAAGTGTACCCTTCTACCAGCATTACCAGCATAGACCCAGCTACAACACAACAATCTTAGAAGCAGTGCTCTTAGAATCATAATTTTAAAGTTCTACTTTATTGTTTTGGATTTCTTTTAAGGAAAATAATGGTATTGGAAACTCATTTTCTTTCTTTTTTCTTTGTTTTGTGAGATGCAGTTTCGCTATGTTGCCCAGGCTGGAGTGCAGTGGCATGATCTCAGCTCACTGCAACTTTGCCTCCCAGGTTCAAGCGATTATTGTGGCTCCAGCCTCCTGAGTAGTTGGGACTACAGGCACACCCCACCACACTCAGATAATTTTTATTTTTGTGTTTTTATTAGAGATGGGGTTTTACCATAGGGTCCAGGCTGGTCTCGAACTCCTGGCCTCAAGCGATCTGCCTGCCTGGGAGTCCCAAAGTGCTGGAATTACAGGCCTGAGCCTCCATGCCCAGCCTGGAAACCCATTTTCAATTATGTTTAGACTATTCAAATATTAGACTCTTCAATTATTTTTAGACCTAGCAGGAGTCAAATATAAATTATAAATATAAAATGGTACTTATAATAATCTATGTAACTTAATTTGTGGGTAACAAGTAAATAATTAAGACTTAATAAATTTTCAAGTATTACCAAACAATAGAAGAAAATGTTAAGTATATCATACACAGATGACTGAAGATAAGAAAATAGTTGTTCCTGCTAGTCTGATATGTATGTTTATAAGGAACACTTTTTAAAGGAGTTTTTCTCAACATGAATTCGTGTAAGAAGCAAGTAATCATTCAGAACAATTTCAGAAAACATTATTTCACAGCATAGGTCTCAAGAGATGTGTATAAGCTGATAAATGACCTTAAACTAATAAGTATTGATGATAACAAAATCAAGTATAAAATTTGAGCAGGGATTTCTTATCTTGTGTTTTCAATCATTTTTCCTAAGCTGATAATTAAATGGAGAGCATATTTCTTTCTTAATATTACATTGGTGATTGCATTTCACTCTTACTGTACCCCAGAGATGATAAAATGGCTCTGTAGGTGTGCCCCAACTAAAACTACTAATGTTGGTTAACAATGGCACATATGTTACAAAATTCTAATATATTATAAATTGCTGTTCACAATTCTGAGATAGCCCAATGTACTTTATTAATCAGACATCCAGACATTTAATTCTTTAGCTACTCAAAATAGTTCCAAAGTGAATAATCAATACAATTTCTTCATTCAAAATACGTATCTCTTCAGGAGGAAGTTTGAGATTTATATCAACATGAGAAATTAAAGAGAAACAGTTTCTTTGTTTAAAGAGATTAGCAACCTTCCCCAACGAGCACATATACTGCCATTTCCACCACCAAAGTTTCAACACATGCTTAACCACTCTGATTTTTTAGTCTTCTCCCCTTTAGAAACCTATGGATTCCCCTTACTTTTCTGCCAGCTCAACTATAGGTTATTAGCATGTTTTTAATATTTTATGGGAAAACTCTTGTGCTTTTGTAGTGGAAACATTTTTAGGTTATCTGATTTCCTACAGTGTCACAAGTGAAAGGTGTCTTATACTTTTTAATTGATGTACTATTACCTCAAAATAACTTCAAATACATTTATTATATTCACTTTAGTTATTTACTCTCTTTTCCATTGACTATGCTACTTGTGGGTAAGTCTTCTGTTTCAAATGTTTGGTTCCCATGTTTCATGCTGTTTTTTTTAAAACTTTAAATGACTGATGATTCTAGATTTTCTCTTCATATTTTTAAATGGACCAGATGGAATAGTGCTGGCAACTGGAGAGTTGTCTAAGCAGGGCATTAAACAACAGTGTTCACTATCATCTCCCCAGAACAAAGTCAATGCCTTGTACATGAGGAGTACTATGTAAAGAATAAATTAATAATTGAAAAAAAAATGAATAAATAAAATATGAATACAGATTCTAGAATCAAAAGCAATCATGTTTATGCACAAAGAGAATAGTGAGTAAGATTTTTGGAAACTACTTAGTATATAAAATAGAAACTATAAAATTACTGAGATAAATAATGCACAAAAATGGAGGGAGGAGATCTGTCTAAAGGAAAAACGGACGTCTAAAATACAGAAAAGGAAGATCAGAGGGAGATATAATTTCCAATAATTTCCCGAAGAGAAAACACTAACGAGGGTTAAGAAATTTCCCAAAACTGTCTACATGATGGAAAAGAAAACTCAAAGGATCACAGAGACAGCTCAAAGGCACAAGTCTTTAGCACGTCTTAGCCATTTTTTGTACACAAAGTCAACCTGGATGCAATGATTGTGAAGCGGACCACTGTTGAACAATGTCTTTGAGCCCTTCCATCATATTCCAGAGATGTGATAAAGATAAGTGCATAATATGCTCATTTGCCCAAATTTAGTACAAAAGAGATAGGAAGCGATCTAAGGTTACTTTAATTATGATAATATTTTTAAAAGTAACGAATTTTATATTTAAGAAGTAATAATTAGCTTCATTGAGTGGGTTGAAAAATAAGAGCACCAACATGTATTTTTATTAGAGCACATCTGTTTTGTGATAGAATAGATAGTGCAGAGGACTAGGAATTATTATTATTGGGTTCTTTGTCATCCTGGCACTCCTACTGACTTGCTAGATGATATTGTGAGGCCACTTGAACTCTCAAGATTGCATTTTCCTCATATTTATGCTAGGAGGAATACACTTAAATTATTTTAAGATATTTTCTGTAAATAAGGAAGGATTATTTTTAACTTGTAATTCAGGTATGAACTCTCCAATATTTTCTGATCACCTGTCTATTTACCTCATTTCACTATAAGATAAAGAGTCACATATTATCATCACTTTCCTTATTTTATCATCATACTAGGTTAAAAATAGCTTTATTTTCCAGTAACAATATTATCATTTGTGATTGCCAGAATGATAGGACTATAGAATGATGCAACTCTTTTAGTTTTCTTAAGGTATGACATAAATAAATATATTTTATCTATAGTTCACTTGAGCTCAACAAATTGCTTTTACCATTTACCACTTACAAAGTCTTAAGTATACCAGATGATTAATGGATTAATAACTCAAGGTTGCCTAAGGTTGCCTACTATTGAGGACAATATGGAAACGTATATGAGCAAGATTGGAGAATGAAGTGTCATAAGATGCAAGAAGAGCGTGAAATGGAGAAATATCTCATGAAGCTGATTTTATTTGAGAGAGGTCTTAAACACTGGGCTTATTTCAACAGGTAGCTCTAAATAAAAATGAATTGCCATGGAGAGAAAACCGCTTGTGCAAAGGCATTGGAATGGAAAAGCACAAATTGCATTTAAGGAGTGGTTTATTGGGTAGTTTAACTGAGGAAGGAGTTTGAAATGATTCTTTAGGACTCTTTTCTATAAATATTGCAGACTATTCTAAGACACCTGCATATACTTTTCTATACTTTATTAAAATTAATTTAGAACTTACCCAACAATAGTAAAATAGAAAGGTACATTTCATAGAGAGAAATTATCCTAATAAAGGACCCTCACAATGTGAAAAATGCTTGATGGTCATTTTTGTCCATGTCCTGTGGATAAACTGAAACACATAATCATGTTCCATTCATCTGGTAGGGTTAGCTGATGATTGTGATTTTCAAATAACTCAGTTCTAATGTTAATAGTTGCTCAAATATTCTATATTAGTATTTCCTGGGGTGAGTTCCATGGAACACTTTATATAAATGATGCATTAAGAATAACGTTTTTATAATAAATATCTTGACTGTATACAGCATCTTAAAATTCCAAGAAAGAAAAATTAAAAATAACTAAAATGTATGCAACATTAACTATGTATTAAGGTACCATGCTAAGAACTTAACATGAGTTTTATTTGTTAATTCTCACAGCCACATTTTTTTTTTTGTAGTCACTGTTATTATTCTTGTTTTACAGGATAGGAAATTGTGAACTGATAAGTGGCAGCATGATGCCGGGAACCAGGATGTTTCATTCTAATATCCTTGTGATGCCCAGCTTTATTGGTCAGAAAATTCTTCTTGTGGGGATCATTTCTGATTAAAAGTGGTAAATGCTGTGTGCTTCTCTCTCATGATAGCATAGTTTACCAAATATTTGTGACAAAAATCCGGAGGAGACAAGTCACGTTTGCTTATTTTATTAATTTCCATGGTATCTTTATAACGGATAACCAAATCAAAACCAATTAATAAACCAAAATAAACCAGCTTTATGTATATTATCTAAAATATAATTTTTACAGTTTCCCAAATAGGCAACAAATTTGCATGTTTTTTTCAGGAATTTACTTGGCATATAGTTTATATATATCCTCCTTGCAAGAGTTATGATGAGCAGCCTGTAGACTTGAAGTAGTCATTTGAGCACATACAGGAATCATATTTCCATAAACTTCTTCTGTACTTTACACTAGAGGTACTGCAATTACATGACCAAATTTAAAAATAATTTCCAATAAATTTAAAAGAAAAATAATTTGGAATGTTATTTACTCATTTTTATAACATTGACTTCTATATCTTTATGGAGTTAAGAAGCAGTGAGAACCAAAGTTTCACTGGAGACTATTTTTTTCTTTTTTTTTTTCTAATGAAGTTCTAAGACTGGGAAAAAGAAAAGAAGACATAGCCTGACTTCTCCTCCTTCACTTTTTTTAAGTTTTATTTTATTGAACTGACCCATAATAAGTTACATATTTATGGGGTAAATATTTATGGAGTAATGTCAATATACGAATGCATTTCGTAATGTTCAAATCAGGGTAATTGGTAAATTCTTCACCTAAATATTTATTATTTCTTCATGGTGAGAACATTCAAAATCCTCTCGACTAATATTTTGAAACATACAATATGTTCTTATTAACGATAGTCACCCTTCTTTGCAATTGATATGGTTTGAATACATGTCCCCAACCAAATCTCTTGTTGCATTGTAATCCCCAATGGTGGAGGTGCAGCCTGGTGGGAGGTGGTTGGATCATGAGGGCAAATCTGTCATGAATGACTTGGGCCATCCCCTTGGTGATAAATAAGCTCTCACACTGAGTTCACACAAGATTTGGTCATTTAAAAGTTTGTGGCGTCTCCCACAACCCCCCCACTCTCTCTCTTTCATGCTTCTAGTTTTGCCATGTGATGTACCTGCTCTCACTTCACCTTTCACTATGAGTAAAACTCCCTAAGACCTCCCCAGAAGCCATGCGATGACAGTGCCATGACTGAGCATCCCGCAGATCTGTGAGCCAATTAAGCCTCTTTTCTTTATAAATTTTCCAGTCTTATGTTTTTGTTCATAGCAATGCAAGAATGGCCTAATGTATAATATTGGTACTGAGTAGAGGGGCATAACTATAAAGATACACAAAAATGTGAAAGCAACTTTGGAACTTGGTAATGGGCAGAAGTTGAAAGATTTTAGGGGGCTCAGAAGATAGAAAGATGAGGGAAAGTTTGGAACTTCTTAGAAACTGGTTAAACAATTGTGACCAAAATGCTGATAGTGATATGGACAGCGAAGTCTAGGCTAAGGAGGTATCAGATGGAAATGATGAACTTATTGGAAACCAGAGCAAAGGTCACATGAGTTATGCCTTAGTAAAGAACTTGGCTCCATTCTGTTTATGCCATAGGGATCTGTGATGCAGGAGCAAATAAATGACTTTAAGTTGGAATTTACATTTAAACAGGATGCAGAGCACTGAGGCTTAGAAAAATTGCAGCCTGGTCATGTGTCAAAGAAAAAAAAAGCTTTTTTGGGAGAAAAATGTAAGTAGTCTGGTAAGCAACCACTTGCTAGAGGTATTTGTGTAACTAAAAGGGAGCCAAGTACTAATATTCAAGACAGTGGGAAGAGGATCTTGAAGGCATTTCAGAGATCTCCCAGACAGCCCCTCCCATCACAGGCCCTGAGCCCTACAAGGACTGAATAGTTTTGTGGGACAGGCCTGGTGTCCCACTCTCTCTGCAGCCTTGGGACACTGCTCCTCCATCCCGGCTACTCTGCCTCCAGTCTCTGCTCAAAGAGCCCCAGGTATAGCTTGGGCTTCTGCTTCAGAGGGTACAAGCTGTAAGCCTTGGTGGCTTCCACATGATGCTAAGCCTGCAGGAGCACATAGTGTAAGAGTTAAGGAGGCTTGTCAGCCTCCACCTAGGTTTCAGAGGATATATGAAAAAGCCTGGGTGCAAGGCAGAAGCCTGTTGCATGGGAGCAACCTCCACAGAGATCCTCGACTAGGGAAGTGTAGAGGGGAAATGTGGGGTTTGAGGCCCCATGCAGAGTCCTCGCTGGGGCACTACCTAGTGGAGCTGTGGGAAGGGGTCCACGATCCTCCAGACCTGAGAATGGTAGATCCACTGGCAGCTTGCACCCTGCATCTGGAAAAAAAACAAAGGCACTCAACTCCACCCCATGAAAGTAGCAACAGAAGCTGAACCCTGAGAAGCCACAGGGGTGGAGCTGCCCAAGGTCTTGGGATCTGACCCCTTGCACCAGTATGCCCAGGATGTGGGACATGGAGGCAAATGTGATTATTTTGGAGCTTTAATATTTAATGACTACTGAACATCTCTGTGTTTTGAACCTTAATGCGGCCTGTAGCCCTTTTCTTTTGGTTGATTACTCCCTTTTGGAACAGGAATGTTTATCCAATACCTGTATCCCCATTGTGTCTTTAAAATAACTTGTTTGTAATTTTTCAGGCTTATAGGTGAAAGGGACTCACCTTGTCTCAGATGAAACTTTGAATGTTTGAGTTAACGTTGGAATGAGTTAAAATCTTGAGAGACTGTTGGGACAGTATGACTGTATTTTGCAATGTGAGAAAGAATGAGATTTGGGGAGTCAGGAGTGAAATTATACGGTCTGAATATATGTTTACACCAAATCTTATGTTGAATTGTAATCCCAGTGTTGGAGGTGAGGTCCAAAGGGAGGTGTTTGGATCATGAGAGTAGATTCCTCATGAATGACTTGGGCCATCCCCTTGATAAGTGAGTTCTTGCTCTGAGTTCACACAATAATGGGTCATTGAAAATTGTGTGGCACCTCTACCTTTCTCTCTTGTTCTTGCTTTCACCACATGATGTACCTGTTCCCAATTCACCTTCCACAATGCGCAAAAGCTCCCGGAGGCCTCACTAGAAGCCAAGCAATGTCAACACCATGCTTGTACAGCCTACAGAACCATGAGCCATTTAAACCTCTTTTCTTAATAAATTATCCAGTCTCAGGTATTTCTTTATAGCAGTTGCAAAACAGCCTAATACAGCAATCAAATGCCAGAACTTACTTCTCCTAAATGTAATTTTGTCACTTGAGACTCTTTATGTGCTCTATGTGTTTTAATACTCTTCTGGATTAGCTATAATCTTAGTGTGACAATTATGTATTTTTATTTTCATCTGATGCAAATTAACCTTATTTCCTTGCCATCAATTATTTTGGAGCCTTAATATGTAATGACTGTTCTGCTGTGTTTCGAACTTGCTTGGGGCCCTCAGCTCTTTCCTTTTGGCTCAACAGAAGGACTACATATGGAAAGATTACAATTCTTAGTGTTTGTTTTACTTAGTCTGGGCCATATCATTGAGATCTGGCCAATGGGATATGCTTGGAAATTATGTATAAATTCATATTTTTCATAAAGCATCCTAACTGAGCCTCCACACATTCTCTTAATTCATCTGTCAGACAGCTGAGTACAGAGAATACCTGGAGGACACATCAGGATGAGAGCCACAGGATTGAAAAATTCTGGGTCCCTGTTTAAGTACTTTAAATAGAATTTCTCAGTGGAGCCTCCAAACTCAAACAGGATTGTGATAAATAAAATTCCATTCATTTGATTTGCTGAGATTTGAGGGTTGTTTGTTTTAGAGGCTAACACAATATACTATGCTTTCTTTTTCTGTTTTATTTATTTAAAACAAAAGCATATATGTGAATCTGCCAATGAAGTCTCCTAATCTATTTACAAATATTAAATCACTTATGCTTACTACAACCTCATAAGATAAGTAATATTATTATCCAATTTATACAAAGGAGAAAACAGAAACACATGTTCACACAGCTAGTAAGTAACAAAGCCAAGGTCCACCCCAGGCACTCTGGCTGCAGAGCTGCTGATCTTAAATTCTAGCTATACTACCTGAATTTAATTAATTATTCTTTTAAAGATTTCATGGTTTTTTTTTGGGGGGGTGGTAGCTACTTTGTGTCTTTCTACATTTCTGAGTATTTTAGCAGTTTTGTATCTGGCTAATTATGGAGAGACCAGAAGAGGCATTGGCCTGAGTCTTACATTTAAGAATGACCTCAAATGTGACCTAATTAAATTTGAAATCACTGTGTTTTGTGTGTCTTATGATTGAATTAGTTAAATGTAAAATATTTAAATATCTGTAGCCGTATTTTCACACTTCTTCATGTTCATTCAAATTACTAGGAAGCATTAATATTTGGAAGTAGCCCAGCCAAGCTCTTATTCTCTGAGAAGTCCTGTTTTGCATACTCACTGATGAATACCTAAGAAAAACAACTGTCCATTCTATGAAACTCAAAATGAATTCAACAGACTATTTCACTGAGTATCTAAAAGCTCGTAGATCCTTAAGGAACATTCCGTGGTGCCACCAGGTAAGCCTCTGACAAAGCTGCAGTAGGCAGAGATAAGGAGAATAGAGAAGCTGAATATGTTCATTTACTTGTCCTGAAATGAACTTATAAAACCTTTTATGTTCATCTAATTCTGGAAAAAAATTACATAGATCAATCTTTTCTATATCCCGTAAGAAATTGTTAGGTCATATCTAATTAGAAGTTGTGTTACTGACAAAGGAGATATTGGCTAGAGCATCTGTGCCACCTCTGACTTATTTAGAAGCGAGTCATGGGATCTGTTACTTTCACTTGGCTCTACTGAAAAGAAAGGAAAGATCTGTGGCTAATGAAATGTCAAAAATGTAACATCTCTAAGGGTTTGGCTTATCCCTTCAGAGTGCATCAGAGGGTCAGCACCAAGCTTCAAGTTAAATCCCTTCACAAACTGAGATCTTTGGGTTGTGAAAAACATTTGGGTGTTTTTCTTCATCTTTCTGTCAGTTATTTTTTTCTGCTTTCTTAAACTAAAACTGTTTCTTCCTTTAAGGAATAATTGTATCCATGGGATTTGAGATTGCTATGAATTGATTGTATGGAGTGCTGTGATTTTAAAAGTGGCACACATATGCAACTTTTTTCAGACTGACAATGTGTTCCTGAGTGGTGCTATTGAAATTGTATGTGCCTGTGTTTATTTTTGCCTGTCACATCTATTAACTTTAATTATCCAAATTATTCTTTCATATACAGTACTACCTCTAATTTATACTCCATTTATTATTTTACCTGTTATCTAAAAAGATGTTATCAAAGACAATAATAAATTGACTTAGCATCTCTTAAAAATATGTTTTAGGTGGCATAATGAAATAGACCAAAGAATGAGGCTGAACAGTCAGGATTTGAGTTTCAGAATTATTTTTCTAATATTTGGATAAAAATTTGATGACCCTTAAAAGTTTTTGAGCCTTAGTTTTCTCATCCATTAAACCAAGATAAGAATTTCAGTGAAAGTATTATTATAATGTAAATAAATTGATAGTATATTTGAAAGCACTTAAACACACTAAAGTTTAGCACAAAGGTTAGTTTTTTTAAATTTATTATTTTTACAGGAGTAAATAAATGAAAAAAAGCCATACAGACTGTTATAGTCAAATTCAGTCATTATTATTATGAAACATGTCCCTGTTTGGCATTTTTAAAGGAAAACATACTAAGGCTTTACTATGCTCTCACCAAATAACTATTGAATGTATATGCCATTGCAGAAAACATTTTCAGTGTCTTTTATAAAATTTTACTCATTTGTCTATACTAATCTAAAGAAAACATTAAGATGATAAAAGAGGGTCTAAGAAAATATTCATGCCATTATTTAACTTTGAAGATAGAAATTTCAAATTAGGGGAAAAACACTGTTTCCTTGAGCATTAGATGCATGATATGTAGCATCCATTTAAAATATAATTTCATCACTGACTAAGGTGACTTCATATCATATTCCAATATCAGGTTCAAAAACATCTATTTAGAGTAAATTGATTTCTTATCATTTATTTTTTATGACAGAAAATTCTTTCACTGAATTGCTTTGGTATCCATTGTATTCACATTTTCTTGATTTTAGGAGTGTGTTCCACACTATGATTATATTTACTGTAATACAGATAGATATACCATAGCTCAAAATGTAGAAAAACTCAATATGTTAAATGGCCACAGTATTTTTGTTAAAAACCAAAATCTCTTTCAACAGGTACACAGTCTGATATCTATGTTGAAGTTTTTTGAAAAAAGGAAAATGACCATAAATAAAATCAAAAGGAGGGAAAGAGACCATAATGATGTAATTAAAGCTAATTTAAAATTTTGAAATTAGCCAAATTGTAAAATAAGGGCATAATGGACACTAGCTCTATATTTTCCTATTTCACAAAAGAATCAAATTGCTATTTAAAAATTTCTATAATTCTATGACTTTTCTTTTGACAGATTTGAACTATTATTAATGCTATGTTTTAAAAATCAACAGTTGTGTATATTTTAGCTTTTATACTTTTGAGTATGATTTATTATGTTTAGGACCTCATGTCCTTTCTAAAACAATGCCTTTGCTTTTGAATTTCCCGATGAAAAAGAAACACAATATTATAAACCTAATTTTTCTAAAAGTCATAATGTTAAAACTATAATAAAATATATACTATTTTTTTGTGGACAAAATAGATTCTGAAAATACACGCTATCTTCAGAGTTTTCTAAAAAACAACCATAGAATATTCATGTGAAAAATTTAAGTCTTTTTTTTTTTTTTTTGATATGAAGTCTCACTTTTTTTGCCCAGGCTAGAGTGCAGTGGTGTGATCTCAGCTCACTGCAACCTCTGCCTCCTGGGTTCAAGCGATTCTCCTGCTTCAGCCTCCCCAGTAGCTGGGATTACAGGCATGCACCACCGCGCCCAGCTAATTTTTGTGTTTTTAGTAGAGTTAGGGTTTCACCATGTTGGCCAGGCTGGTCTTGAACTTCTAACCTCAAGTGATCCACCCACCTTGGCCTCCCAAAGTGCTGGGATTACAGGCATGAGCCACTGAGACCAGCCCAAAATTTAACTTGTTAATGTTTAAGTATGTTAATTACATTTGCTCTGTTGATACATTAGGAATTCAGTGTTGAGGGTTGGTTTTGTTTTGTTTTGTTTTGTTTTGCTCTCACAGACTGTGTGTATTAGCTTATTTTTGTATTGCTATAAAGAACTACCTGAGACTGGGTAATTTATGAAGAAAAGAAGTTTAATTGACCTCAGTTCCCCAGGCTATATAGGAAGCATGGCTGGGGAGGCCTCAGGAAACTTACAATCATGGCAGAAGGTGAAGGGGAAGCAGGCCCATCTTACATGGCTAGAGAAGAAGGAAAAGAGAGGAGGAGGAGGTGCTACATGCTTTTAAACAACCAGATCTGGAGAGAACTAACTCCGTATCATGAAAACACCAAGGGGGAAATCCACTTCTATGATTCAGTCACCTCCCACCAGGCCCCTTCTTCAACATGGAGAATTACAATTTAACTTGAGATTTGGGCAGGGACACGAATCCAAACCATATCACCATAGATCTTATTTAACTTTTGAGTCAGTTACATGTAACAACGACCATGGAGTCAAGCAATAAATGAGGAAGTTTCTCCAGAAGCTTATAAAATTAAAGCTGTCCCTTCAAGCACTGAGGGGTGGCTGGTTAAGCAGGTTATGATCTTTCCAGGGTGATATTGGAGGTTGTTTAAATTGCAATTACAGTTTATAGTGCAGCTGTTAAAATCCACCAGACCAAATTTTCAGAATGACCTTTTCCATTTATCTAAGGAATTTTGCCAAATATTTAATTTGTAGGCATCTCACTTGGGCGCTTTTACAAAAATACACCTTTAAATGAATTATCTTATCTTTAGCTTTCACACACAATAATGAATGTCTGTAGGTGACCTATAGTTTCAGTGGAGTTAACTCTGTTTTATATAGGAGATGCTGTCAGACATGTAACTTTCATTTAAATAAGATACAATAATTACTAGCTCTCCGGAAAGGAAGAGAACATTTGGAATTTTTAAAATGTTTATTAAAGTTACCTCATTAATATTAAGAATTCAGTTTTGGAAATATATCTGTCACATTGGAAAAAGCATTGAAACAGCAATGTCAGTGCACTTATCTAAGCCATATAAATGTCAAGTAACATATGAACAGAATGCATTGTCTCTTTAATAATTTTTAGTTAGCCACATCTATATTAACTTACATTAATTCAAGAAATAAACATCATATACTTATTTTTTCTTCATTTAAACAAATAGTTACAACTAGCCAAGTGGGAGAATACTGTTTCAAAATTGATCTAGCTATGGCTCATCTTGCTATCAAAATGGGCTAGTTCTAAATTATGCTAAGCAAATTGAACACTGTTTCAAACATGATTGATTTAATTAGCTACACCTCCTTTAGAGGTCAGGAGACATTGATGAATACCTGGAAGTCTCAACCCTACTACTCTTCTTATCAGTAAAATGATCTTCTCTGTATCAGAAGCGTTCAACCAAGCCTATTGAATAAACATAGGTGTTCTTGCTAGCTACACTGACAGAATATTTGAATGATAAAATTTTAAGTATAAAATCAAACATCAAATAGAGCCAACTCCAGAAAATAATTTCGAATTTCTGTAGAACATGCCATTTAAGTGAAAAGGTTGGGCTGGTGTATTTTGTTGTGGTTGGAAATGAAGGCTCAGAGGGCATCAGTTGGACTCTAGGCTAGAGTAAGTCTTATGAGATCTTGGAAAAATTACTTTACCATTCTAAACTTGTTTCTTCATCTGAAAGTTGGGAAAAATAAATTTACTTGCCTGCTAAAGTTTTTGGTAGGATAATAGCAAATAATGAAGAATAAGCACTCAGCACAAAGCCTGGCAAATTGCAAATACTCCAGAAATGATAGGTATTATTATAGGTCAAATAAAAGTTAATGCAATAAACCAATATTCCTTCAAACAACAACTCACACACACTAGTTTGACTGCTTAAGGGAATATATGTCCAGTATCCATGCAGATAATCTAAATATCTCAATGTCTACTTAGGATATTCTAATTTCATTAGCTCCAGGGTCAAGCGTCTGAGGGCCAGGAAGTGGGGCCTTTGGAAGAAAGTAAGAGACATGTATAGAAGATAAGTAAAGATGAAGTGGAAGGAAATAGAAAATAGTGATACACATCCTACTGGTCCCCAGGCAGTAGTCTCAAATTTTGTTTGCTTTACCCTAGTTAATGTTCAAACCCAGAGTTAGATTAAACTATTATGATTCCCTTTTACAAATCAGGAAACTAGATTATAAACAACCCAATTACATTACCTGTAGTGAATCATCAGTAAGGGAGATGGGTCTCCACCCCAGGTTCGTCTGCTCCTGAGTGGACCCATACTCTGTATGCTAAATTATATGGTCTCTTGTTAACAGAATTTCAGACATGTATTTGGACAGACTGTATTGCAAAATAAGAATCGAGATCATTAGACTGATCTCGTCTAAGTAATTGAAGGGGAGAAGGTGGGGAATACTGCTTCAGTGGATCACTGAGGCAATGAAGCCTCAGTAGCTGAAAGGTTATTGGGGCCTTGCACATGAACTTCATTTGCATTCCCTGCTCTAACTGTTCCTCTTGATGTAACATTGTTCTGGGACTTTCACCTCTCAAAATCTTGGTTAGTTTATTTTTAAAATGGAAATAGTGAGACAGCTTTGAGGACCATGTAAAGTAATACATTTAAAGCATTTAACATCAATTCTAATAAATAGTGATGTGGTTATTTTGTTGTTGTTACTGTTGTCATTGTCACATTGTTTAAAATGCCAGGGTAGTCCATGAACTGAAAGATAAAACACACGATGGTAAAGAGGAAGAAAAAAATCAATCCCTCTGTGAGCAGAGATGTAATAGAAATATGCATGGTAAGATGTAGACATGACCGGCTGCAATTCAGCCATGCACGCCAGGTATCATAAAGCTAGTGGAATTAACATACATAAACACATATTGAAAATAACCTCTTAAAAATAAAGAAAGCAATTTTGACTCCAATAAGATGTTCATAGTATTTGGATATTTGGCTAAAATAACTTCACTGTCTCCTGAATACTGAAGTGAAAAATTCAGTACTATACTCCTTTATTCTTAATGTCCTGATGTCACAGCTTTGTGCAGTGATGAGTTACAGTCACCTTGAAACATTAGTTTTAAGGACAACAATGGCAGAAATTATTTATGTAACAAAAGGCCTTTCATGTTCTAATTTATACTTTATACATAGCAGTACTCTTAATAAGTTGCATTTAGTTGTAGGTCACAACCACTGTCAAGTGAAGAGGATGTAAGCAAGATTATTTCCACATTTTGTAGAGATGACTTTATATAAAGAGGAATTTGGAGCTAAGTCCATGGAGTAAGGGAATCAGAGAAAATGAGGATTAGCATCAAAGCCATCACTGATATTCTCCCCCTGAAGGAGAGCACATAGTCATGCCCTTGTCCTTTTGCTGTCTTGAAATCTGAACAGAAAATCTCCAGAAGCACTTCATTCAGTGATGTAGACAGCCAGAAGACTTCTTGGGAAGCCATTTAAGTCTGGAAAGGTTACTGGTTTCAAAAGACAAGTAAAGTGGATGATATAAAATTAGCAGTCAAAAGGTTCTGAGTCCTGGGGTCGTATAGACCAGCATTTCAATTCTAGCCTGCCACTTAAAAGCTCCATATTTTTATATGAGTTAATTAGTCTCTTTAAGCTTCAACTCTATATTTGTAAATGACTTTAGTAATAGCAATGTAGAATTATCTGATTCAGAATTAATTTATATGATAATATTGTAATTGATAATTCAGTCTAAATGTCCTTCACATGTGTCAGATTTAATTTCTTTAGCTTATAAAAACTGATTCGCTGTAATTAGATTATAAAAACTTCAGGTAGTATTGTTATTTAACATTATGTATATTCTATAGAAAGTAATCAGTATATATTAGGTATTCCAAAAGCTACAAGATGAGAACATTGTACTTCTACCTATTCAATACATGGAAGCTTATAAAGAAAATAATTCTCTTGTGAAAGTTGTTTTAATACCAGTCAAATAGCTAATAATTTTATTATTCAACAAATAACAAATTTGTTGAATTTATTATTTGTTCTAATTTGGTAAGTACAAGAAAAATAAAATCTTGCTTATTTGACTTTTTAAAAACTCAGACTACATTATCTTATACAAATGGAAAAATGTAGAGTGCAACGTCAAACACTAGCAGATTTTAGTGCTATATATGAAGAAAAAAATACCGAAGTTATTATACACTGGAGTACTCTGGTAATATTCCTTCCAGTTTTAGGCAAGACATTGTTTGGCAATGGAGTAGTGAAGGTGATTTATTATAGATTTCTATTTTATTTTCTGATATGGCCTTTATTGAAATTTTCCCTAGTATTTCTATCTTTATGAAAATTCTTCTTCCTCTCAGGAAAGCTATGAAGAAATTGCAGACTATCTGTCATGTAAAATTCTTTTGTTATTTAACTCTATTGCCTATGAAAAAAATGCTGTATACAACCTAAAATTTAAAACTGAATTTTTACAACAGAGAGAAGCCTTGGCAGTGAAACAGATACGAAAATATAGTATTTACAATTACTAATTCTTGGGAAAAACGGAAAGATCCAAGCCCAAAACACAGAGGTCTTTTATAACTACATACAAATGGAGGGGAAAAGAGAGAAAATATGTTCATTCCCCAAACTGAAGACAAGGATAAGGAAGTATTATGACTTTCAACTCTCATTTGCAGTGTTTCTACCTCAAAGCATCATCACATATCATGAGTTCATGTTCTGCAACAGTAATGATGAAGTTTCAAATATAATGGTACAGGAAACTGAACCATATGAAAAAGCAGCAGGAAATTGTTGTGCCAAAATATAACTTCCTTTAGGAAAAAGACTTAATAGGTATCGTACTGTGCATAAAAAGAAGTTATTTAGACACAGGGAAATTGACATTTCAGTCATTTCAGCTCTTTGTAGCTTGGACACGAATATAATCTCAAATATGAATTGAGTTCATATAGCTCCTTGCATAATCATATGTTGAGATATATGATTAAACTAATTCCATGTACCAAATCATATGGTGAGCCAAATGTATTTTAAAACATTTTCACCTATTTTGACATTCATGTGGTCTGAATATATGCAGAAAACTATTAGATATGTGTCTTGTATTATAATATTTAAATATTTAAAAGGAGAAAGGGAAAAACTAATATTCACCTTTTTTCCTACTTTTTCAACATTCCATGAATAGCGTTTGCCTCTCACTTAACTTTAACACAAAATAAACAAGAAGACATTCCAGGATTTTTAAATCAACTTTATTGAAATACAATACATTTCAACTATTTAAGTTATTTAATAGTGTATATTTGGTTTGTTTCCAGTTTTGAGCTATTTTGGTTACAACAGCTATGTACATTTATGTACACATTGTTGCACTGACATATGTTTTTATTATCTTTGATACATCTCCGGGAGGCAAATGGTTGTACCTTAAGGTAGGTATACATTTAACATTTTAGGTTACTGCTAAATAGCTTGCTAAAATTATTATACCATTTTACTTTCTACTAACAAGGTATGAGATTCCCAGTTGCTCCAAGTCCTCATAAAGATTTTGTATTAGCCTCTTTACTTTCCTCCATTCTTATGTATACGGAACAGTACCTCATTGGGCTTTTTAATCTGTAATTCTGATGACTAATGCTGTTGAGTATTTTTTCACATGCTCATTGGACATTTATATTCTTTTGTGAAGTATCTGCTAAATGGTTTGCCCATTTTCAAATGTTTGCCTTCTTCCTATTTAGCCATAAGAAGACTACATCTTCTGGATGCAAGCCCTTTATCAGATTTAACATTTTAAATATTTTCTCCTCTTTTGTGGCTTGCCTTTTGATTTTCTTTACAGTGATTCCAAGGAGCAAATATTTTTAATCTGAATACAGTCTAATTTCTCAAGCTCTGAGGTAAATTTGAAACAGTTGAAAATTATGTTTCTTAAAGCTGTCTAAATTTGTATGTAGATATTCTGGTTTCTCATTCAAATGTGAGCTTATCCTGTTCAGATTTTTATAGCACTTTTTCCTTCCACCATTTTCAACCTGGTTAGCTGTATTTTACCTCACCAGGCCAAGAGAACACAAATTTCTGTTAGCAGCCAACACTCAGATGACTAATGAATTCACAAACTTCCTACAAAAGCAACAAAGGAAGGCAAAGTAAAATGGACTGTTTCATTTTTTTAAGGCTTTTGCCCATTTGATTAGGCCCAGAAATTTGTTGAATTGGTGAAAATACTCAGAAACAGGACCACTTAAGCATGGCAGAAAGAGAATGCTGTAGCCATAGCAAGCATCATAATTTGAAGCAAATATAATTAAATCCATGCAAAAAAAGAGCAAGCATGAATAAATAGCTCAAAATGATAGATGAAAAAGAAAAAGTACACCAAATGCCCACATAGAGTGAGGAAATATTTTGCATGATTTCACATAAAGTACCTCAATCTGGAAAAGTCTACATATACATCATCAATTCTATCATGAAGTGCATAGTTATAAAACATAACAAGATATAAGAGGGTCCAAGTGGACTAACAAGTTAATCATGAAAAATGGAATAATTATCGTATTAGTAAAAGGCTAGCAACTAGATAATATCCTTACTCTTGATGCAATTAGATGAAACACACATATCAAAAAAGTCAGCTTAAAATAAAAACTTTCATTTTTTGCAGAATGAAAAGTAACAAAATTAAAATCTAAGAAAATTACTATCATCAAATCTATTAAATTCTAATATAAGAAAGTTAATAATTATAATGAATTAAGAAAACTAATTTTCTTATATAGGTATAACCTGGCAAGACATGAAGTAAACATACATATAATTACATATACAATAATAATCAAAGAAATTAAAATAAAACTGGTTTATAATATAGCTTGGCCATCCCTAATTCAAAAATCCAAAATCCAAAATGCTCCCAAATCTGAAATTGTTGAGAGCTGACATTTTACCACAAGTGGAAAATTCTAAACCTCACCTCATGTGATGGGTCACAGTCAAAATGCAGCAAAAACTGTTTTATGGACACAGTGTTGAAAATATTGTATAAAATTACCTTCAGGCTCTGTGTATAACGCATATATGAAACACAAATGAATTTCATCTTTAGACTTGGGCCCCATCTCCCAGATATCTCATTATATACATTCAAACATAACAAAATCTGAAAATGCCCATCTGTCATCAGTAGAGACCAACACTGAGTCCCAAATATGGCACTAGGGTGATGCGTCAGTTAGCTGGTGGTAGGTTGATTACATTGGACTGGTCTCCTCATGGAAGGGGCAGCACTTGGTTCTTACTGTAATGGATACTTAGTCTCTATATGGATTTCCTTCCCTGCATGCAGTGCTTCTACCAGAATTACCATTTGTGGATTCACAAAATGCCTTTTCAACCATTATAATATTATCTCACACAGCTATGCTCTCATTAAGGAACTCACTTCACAGCAAATAAAGTATAACAATGGGCCATATGGTGTCGACATGGAGCAGCCATGTTTCTTTAAAGCAAAAAATATTTAAAGGGCTTGAAGGCAGAGGGAAGTTTACTGCTTACAGACTAGGAATCTCAGAATTTAGAGCAGAAGAATTTGGATAGTAACTAGGGAAAGTAGAATAGCATTATAGCTTATTATGAAGAAGATAGTATGAGATAATATAAATGATCCTAGAATCTTGCTTATTAATTGGAGAGGTAAACAGCAATGAAAGGAAAGAAGCATTCAGTTTTAATGGCATGTTAGAGAAGAGAGATCCTTAAGTAAAACAGGATTTACTTGTTTTACAATGGTTCTCACACTCCACAGCACCTTAAAACAAACAAACATACAACCCAATTCTAAATAGCACCTCTCCTCCCAAAACTTATATAATTATTCAGGTTAAGGCAAAAGATCTGATGTATTTTTAAAGTTCCCCATGTGATTCTAATGTAAAGCCATGGTTGAAACTTCTCAGTCATTGTCTGGAAATGAGTCCCAATGATAGCAAACTGGAATTTATGTTTTTACTGGTCAGCTGGTGGAGGCAGAGTGTAGAATGAGTCAGTAAAATGAAGTAAAACATGATCCCTGTGTGTCTTCTCTTGAGAGAAGAAGTATTCTATAATTCTAAGCAAGTTCAGTAAGGATTTGAAACAAAGAAGCAAATAACGTATTTGTCGGTGGGTTTTCTCATTTGAATTTTCCCAGAGTTGGTATGCTTAACAACCTCACAATAATTCTAGGCCAATACTCCCTTCTGAGACTTAATCATTTGTGTCTTTGTTGGTGGAAGTTTAGTCAATGAAATAATCTGGCTCTTCAAAGATTTTGAGATCAACAGATACAATTAGAATAAAATGTAGATCACATTAGAGAACATATATTTGGGAATGAAAAAAAGAAATGCAATATATTGAGATTCAATGGAATGCTTAGTGATATTTGTGGTAGCAAAGTATCACTAGAGACATGCATAATTAAATTTTTGTTCTCCCTACCAGTTATGTGACATTAAGGATCTAGGAGTATATTATCTCCAAAAGTAAAATTGGAACTTCCAGATACTTGAAAAAATTACATAGAATAAAATTACAGAGAAATTTTATGCTTACAGATAAAAGAATTGCTTTTGCCAGTTATATTATTATAAGTGCTTAAAAGGGACATCGATTCTTATGTAAATATATGTCATTTTCAGTCATGAATTTAAGATATTAAACAAGTTAGGGAACAGTCATGCAGATTGATTTATAAAAAATAGATATCAATGATTTAACAAAATATAATTATAAAATAATTAAATGAATAAAACAGAAAAAAATATAAAGTCATTCTATTTTCTTCGGAGCTCAGATTATTTAAAGACAAATCTAACTAATTAGAGTTTAGTTGAGCTGTACTGATTACATTCAAACAAATTTTTCAAGTACATGAGCTTAGGAAAGCACATTCCAATTGTAATTTTCTTTCCTCTTTGCTCATTGCTCCTTTTGCTCTAGTTTATCTTTGTCACCTGAGCCTGCTTTCAGTCTCAGAGGTATTAAAGGTTGTTTGGAGGACAAATAATTCACATTTTTCTAAATCATTAAACTAGAATAATACCACTCATTTAGGTTTCTTAACTAGTTCTGCTTTTTTGGAATAGAATTATACATTTTTAAAAACAAATAAATGTATATAGCTTTAAAATAATCTTTAAAAGCTTAAAACAAAAGCATGTGTTTCTCTATCACACATTTTTCCATTACCCCTTCGTGTTCCCCAGACAAAAATATTTCAATTCTTTCTAGTTTTAGTTTGCATATTGCCAAATAGTATAAATGTACTTGAATTAATCATCAGTAAATATTATTTACTTCTTGTAGTAATGAATCAACCTTTTTTTATACCACTTGTCACTCCTCCATCTTTTCAACATCATTATATCACTATTAGTGTAAAACTAATTTTCAGTATTTTTATTATCATTAATGATTATTATTTCATGCTAAACCATGCAGCTGATTATTAATACCTTCTCTCTTGTAGACAAATCTCTTATTTCTTCTACATCATTTTTCCCCTTTTAATTTACTATTTTTTTTAAGCATTAAATCTAAGCACAAGCTTCATCTACTTCTCAATAAAATTTCTCTTCACAAAACCCAGTCTGTATTGTCTGGATGGATTGCTGTCTGGACCCTCTGTACAGTAATTATTCTAGTATTGTCTCTCACCACATTTTAGGAACTCCCTTCATCCTTCTTATGTTGAATTCTCTCTTTACTGAATCATCTCCCTTTTTTTTTAGGTATGGTGACAGTAACTGCAATAAACATAATATAAAAAGAATTTAAATCTAGAATATACAAATAAATACTAGAAATCTATACAAATAAACAAGTCTACTAAAAACAGTACAAAGTCTTAAGACACTTTTTAAGATTGGATTTTCAAAAGACAAGCATATGAAAAGGTGGTCAACACGATTAACCATCAGGAAAATTCAAACTAATACCAAAATGAGGTAACAGTACAAAACCACCAGAACTGATACAATGTTTAAAATTACAATATAAATGCTGGCAAGGATGTAAAGTGACCAGCATACCCCTGCATTGCCAATGGGTATGTAAATTATTAAAATCATTTTGAGTAATTCTATGTCAATTTCTATTAGAGTTAAACACATACAACCTATAACTTAGCAGTATGTCACTTAGGCATATTCCCAGGAGAATCGAGTTTATATGTTCACCAAAAGACACATACAGGAAAGTAGATAATGGCTTTACTCATAATAGTGCAAAATATAAAACAGTCCAAATATCTGACAACAGTAGAATGTATAAATAAATCATGATTTATTTACGTGATGAAATACTCCACAGAAGTTTTTTATATTAAAAAATATACTATGCTTAAACACAACCACAGGAATGAATCTAACAGACATAATGATGAATAAAAGAAACTAGAAACTGTTGAAGTTTACTCTGCCTGACTCTATTTAGTTGCACAAAATAGGCAAAATTGGGCCATGGAAATACTATATTGGTTGAGGTCATGATTTCACAGGCATACGCATATGTCAAAGTTAATCAAATTGTATAATTTAAATATGTTCAGTTTAATGCCTTTTAATCATATATCAATGAAATTTAAAATGCATAAAATCAAACACAGGCTAAAAAGTGATAAAATTCAAAATAATGATTTTTTATTAAGGGGGATATTGACTAGAAAAAAGCCCAAGAAAACTTTCCAGGGTGTGGATAACACTCTATTTATTTGTTCTGGTGTGTGTATGCATATGTAAAAGTTCACCAAATTGTACTCAAGATTTGTGAGCTTTACCTAGTACATACTTCTTTTTTTTTTTTTTTTTTTTGAGATGGGGTCTCACTCTGTTGCCCAGGCTGGAGTGCAGTGGCACAATCTCAGCTCACTACAAACTCTGCTTACCAGGTTCAAGCCATTCTCCTGCCTCAGCCTCCAAGTAGCTGGGATTACAGGCACCTGCTACCAGGCCCAGCTAATTTTTATACTTTTAGTAGAGATGGGGTTGCACCATGTTGGCCAGGCTGGTCTCGAACTCCTGAACTCAGGTGATCTGCCCGCCTCGGCCTCCCAAAGTGCTGGATTACAGGCGTGAGTCACCATGCCCAGCCCCCCAATATATATTTTGATAAAAATCTATGAAATAAAAAGGCATCATCTTTTCAATCTGCAGTTCTCTGTCCTGATGTTAATTTACACCATGGGGAAAGGGAGGCAGAGCAAAATGGTGGAACAAAAGGTTCCACTAATCGTCCCCCAACACTCCCAACCAAGGACACCAATTTAACAACATCTACACAGAAAAAAAAACACCTTCATAAGAACCAAAAATCAGATGAGCATTCATAGTAACTGGTTTCAACTTCATATCGTGGAAAGAGGCACTGAAAATATAGAAACAATAGTCTTGAATAGCCACTGATGCCACCCCTTCCTATCCTCAGCCCCTTAAGCAGAGTACATCTCTGGCTGGGCACTGGGGGAGAGCACAGCAAACAATTTGTGCGGCATTGAACTCAGTGTTTTCCTGTCAGAGGAGAAAAGAAAAGAAAACAGGAACAAACTCAGCTGATGCCCATCCACAGAGGGAACATTTAAACTAGCCCTATCCAGAACAGAATCACGGATCCCAGTGGGCAGAACTTGAGTTCCTGCAAACCTCACCACTTAGGGCTACGGTGCTCTGTGTCCCTAAGTAAACTTGAAAGGCAGTCTATCCCATAAGTACTGCAACTCTTAGGTGTGTCCTAGTGCTGAACTAGGCCCAGAGAAAGAGTACTGGATTGTAGGGGGATGTGACTTACTGAGACACCAGCTGGTGCAGCCAAAGCAGTGCTGGCATCACCCCTCCCATCACCCCAGGCTGCACAGTTTGCGGCTCCAAAATGGACCCCTTCCTTCCACTTGAGGAAAGGAGAAGAAAGAGTGGGGAGGACTTTGTCCTGCATCTTGGATGCCAGCTCAGCCATAGCAGGATAGGGCACTGGGCAGAGATGTAAGGCCCCCATTCCGGACCCTAGCTCCTGGGCAACATTTCTAGATACATGCTGGGCCAGAAGGGAACCCACTTCCTTGAAGGAAAGGACCTAGTTCTGGTAGAACTCGTCATCTGCTAAATGAAGAACCCTTAGGCCCTGAACAACCAGAGGTGATACCCAGGTAGTTGGGTATGGAGGGCCTTAGGTGAGCCTCTGAGACTTGATGGTTTCAGGTGAGTCTCAGTACATTACTAGTTGTGGTGGCTATGGGGCAAAATTGCTTCTGCTTGAGAAGAGAAGAGAGAAAAGCAAAGGAGACTTTGTCTTGCACCTTAGGTACCAGTATGGCCACAGTGGGGTAGAGCACCAAGGAGGCTCTTGGGGTCCCCGATTCCAGGACGTGACTTTTGGATGGAATTTCTGGACCTGTCCTGGGCCAGAGGGGAGGCCATTGCCCTGAAGGGTGAGTTCCAGGCCAGGCAGCATTTAACACAAGTAGACATAAGTACCTTGGGCCTTAAGGGAACATTGGTGGTGGTCTTGCAGTGCTCCTCGTGGCCTGGGGTGGCAGTGGCTATGGGGTGAGTCTCCTCTGCCTTTGGAAGAGGGAGGCAAGAGTGGGAAGGATTATGTGCTGTGGTTTGAGTGCCAGCTCAGTGGCAGTACACTAGAACAGCAGGTATACTTCTAAGGTGTTTTTATCCTAAACCCTAACTACCAGATGGCACTTCTGAACACATCTGCGGCCTACATGACCTCACCACTCTAAAGGGAAAGACATAGGCCTGGCCTGCTGATTGTAGAGCCCTAGACTCTTCAGTAAACACAGGCAGTAGCCAGGGAATGATTACAGCAGGCCTTTGGCAAGACTTAGCGCTGTGCTGGCTTCAGGTCTGACCCAGCACAGTCGTAGTAGCCACAGGGGTGCTTGCATCACTCCATCCCCAGATTTAGGTGCCTCAGAAGAGAGAGAGAGACTCTGTTAGTATGGGAGAAAGTAAGGGAAGAAAACAAGAGTCTCTGCCTGGTAATCCAGAGAATCCTCCCAGATCTTGTCCAAGACCGCCACAGTGGTATCTCTATGAGTCTGCAAGAACCACAGCGTTACTGGGCTTGGAGTGCCCTCTAAAGCAGTTAAAGTTTAGATCACAACACCCAGATCCTTCCAAATATCTGAAAAGCCTTCCCAAGAAGGATGGCTACAGATAAGCCCAGACAGTGAACACTGTAATAAACACCTAACTCTTCAATGCCCAGATACTGAAGAACATCTAATAACATCCACACCACCCAGGAAAACATAATTTCACCAAATGAACTAAATAAGGCACCAGGGACCTAGAGAAAGATATCAATATCCAAGTACAAGAAGTTATAGAAAACCAAGCAGATTTAGCCCAAAAAAGATTGCCTCAAGGCATTTAATACTCAACTTGCAAAGTTCAAGGATAAAGAAAGAAACCTAAAAGCAATAAGAGAAAAAAAATCCAGTAACACACAATGGAGCTCCAATAGGTCTGGTAGCTGACTTTAGAGTGGAAACCTTACATGGCAGAAGAGAGTGATATGACATATATAAAGTGCTGAAGAAAAATAAACTTTTACCCTAGAATAGTGTATCTGCCGAAAAGTTCCTTCAAACATGAAGGAGAAATACAGACATCCCCAGTCAAACAAAAGCTGAGGGATTTCATCAACTCTAGACCTGTCCCACAAGAAATTCTAAAGGGAATATTTTAGTTAGAAAGTAAAGGACATTAATGAGCAATAAGTAATTTCCTGAAGGTACAAAACTTGCAGAAATAGTAAATACACAGAAAAACACAGAATATTATAATACGGTAACTGTGGTTTGTAAAACTACTCTTATCTAAGTAGAAAGATAAAACCAATCAAAAATAATTACAACAAATTTTCCAGATATAGGCAGTACAATAAGATGTAAATAGTAACTGCAAAAAGTTAAAAAGCAAGTGGACAAAGTTAAGGCATAGGGTCTTTATTAGTTTTCTTTTTGCTTGTTTGTTTATGCGAACAGTGTTAACTTGTCAGCTTAATATAATGGGTTATAAGGTAGTATTCACAAGCCTCATCATAAGCTCAAATCAAAAAACATACAATGGAGACACAAAAAAATAAAAAGCAAGAAACTAAATCATATTGTCAGGGAAAATCACCGTCACTAAAAAAAAGACAGGAAGGAAATAAAGAAGGAAGAAAAGACCATAAAACAACCAGAAAACAAACAACCAAATAGCAGGAGTCTGTCCTTTCTTATCAATAATAAGTTTGAATGCAAATGGACTAAACTATCCAATCAAAAGATATAGACTTGCTGTAAGAATGAAAAAACAAGACCCATTAATCTATTGCCTATAAAAAACACACTTCACCTATAGAGACACTCAGAGACTGAAAATAAAGCGATAGAAGAAGATATTTCATGACCATGAAAACCAAAAAAGAGCAGGAATCCCTATACTTGTATCAGACAAATAGATTTCAAGACAAAAACTATGAGAAGAGACAAAGGTCACTACATAATGATAAAGGCATCAATTCAGCAAGAGTATATAACAATTTTAAATATGTATGCACGCAACGCTGAAGCACCTCAATATATAAAGGAAATATTATTAAAGCTAAAGAGAGAGATAGGTCCTAATACAGTAATAGCTAGAAACTTCAACACTCCGCATTCAGCATTAAACAGATCTTCCAGACAGAATATCAAGAAAGAAACATCAAACTTAATCTGCACTACAGACCAAATGGATCTAATAGGTATTTACAGAACATTTCATCCAGTGGCTGCAGAATACACATTCTTCTTTTCACCACATGTATCATTCTCAAGAATAGACCATATGAGAGGTCACAAAACAAGTCTTAAAACATTCAAAAAAAATGAAATAATACCAAGCTTCTTCTCTGACCACATGGAATAAGGCTAGAAATTAATAACAAGAGAAATTTTGCAAACTATACAAATACATGGAAATTAAACAATATGCTCCTTAATGACCAGTGGATTAATGAAGAAATTAAGAAGGAAATTGAAAATAAATTAAAACAAATTATAATGGAAACACAACATACCAAAACCTATGGGACACAACAGAAGCGGTACTAAGAGGGAAGATTATAGCTATAATTATCTGCATTAAAAAAGAGGAAAGACTTCAAACAATCTAAAAATGCATCCTAAATAATTAGAAAAACAAAAGAAAACCAAATCCAAAATTAGTAGAAGAAAATAAATAATAAAATCAGGGAAGAAATAAATGAATTTAAAATGAAGAAAACAATACAAAGGAGCAAGCAAATAAAAAGCTGGGTTTTTTTTTTTGAAAATTTAAAAAAACATTGACAAACCCTTAGCCAGACTAAGGAAAAAAGAGAGTAAGATATAGATAAATAAAATCAGAAATGAAAAAGGAGACATTACAACTGACACGGCAGAAATTCAAAAGATTAATAGTGGCTACTACGAGCAACTATATGCCAATAAAGTGAAAAATCTAGAAGAAATGGACAAATTTCTAGACTCATGCGCCTGCCAAGATTGAACCAGGAAGAAGTCCAAAACCTGAACAGACCAATAATAAGTGACAAAACTGAAGTCATAATAAAACATCTCCCAGTAAAGAAAAGCCCAAGACCTAATGGCTTCACTGCTGAATATTATCAAACATTTGAAGAAGAACTAATACTAATCCTACTGAAACTGTTCCAAAAAATAGAGGAGAAAAGAATATTTCGAAACTCATTGTTTGAGGCCAGTATCAATACTAAAACCAGACAAATACACATCAAGAAAAGAAAACTACAGGCCAGTACCTCTGATGAATATTTATGGAAAAATCCTAAACAAAATACTAGCAAACAAACTGCAAAAGTTCATTAGAGGCCACGATTCATGGTTCCAGGATTGGTGGCTCATGCCAGTAATCCCAGCATTTTGAGAGGTCGAGGCAGGCCAATCACCTGAGGTCAGGAGTTCCAGGCTAGCATGGCCATCATGGTGAAACCCCATCTCTCCTAAAAATACAAAAATTAGCCAGGTGTGGTGGCTCACGCCTGTAATCCTAACTACCTTAGAGGCTGAGGCACCAGAATCACTTGAACCCAGGAGGCGGAGGTTGCAGTGAGCCAAGATCATGCCACTGAACTCCAGCCTGGAAAACAGAATGAGACTCTGTCTCAAAACAAACAAACAAACAAAAACAAAAAAAAACATTAGTTTATTCATCATGACAAAGTTGGATTTATCCCAGAAATTCAAAGATGGTTCAACATACACAAATCAATCAACATGATATATCATATCAACAGAATGAAGGACAGAAACCATATGATTATTTTAACTGATGCTAAAAAGGCATTTGATAAGATCCAGCACCTCTTCATGATTAAAAACCCTCAAAAAACTAGAGCTAGAAGGAACACAGCTCCACATAACAAAAGCCATATTCGATAGACCCACAGCTGGTATCATACTTAATGGGGAAAAACTGAAAGCCTTTCTTCTGGGACCTGAACCACAACAAGAATGCCCACTGTCACCACTGCTTATTCTTGTTTGCAGATGATATAATCTTATATTTGGAAAACCCTAAAGACTCCACAAAAAACTATTAGAACTGATAAACGAATTCAGTGAAGTTGCAGGATACAAAATCAACATACAAAACCCAATAGCATTTCTATATGTCAACAGTGAACCATCTGAAAAAGAAAAAAGTAATTCCATTTACAATAGTCACACATAAAACTAAATGCCTAGGAATTAATCAGAAAAAGGAAAGATATCTATAATGCAAACTATAAAAAACTGATGAAATAAATTGAAGAGAAGACAAAAACGTGGAAAAATATTTCATATTCATGAATTGGAAGGATCAGTATTGTTAAAATATCTGTAATACCCAAAACAATCTACAGATTCAATGCAATAACTATCAAAATACCAATAGCATTCTTTACAGAAACAGAAAAATTATTATAAAATTTATATGAAACCAACAAAGTCCCTGAATAGCCAAATCTATCTTAAGCAGCTCATTAATGAATTTGTAAATTTGTGAGTTTGCTTATATAAACATACAGCCTTTAGACTTAGACATTTTGGTGCACAAAATCCTTATAGCACACACACATATATATTCACATATACATGTATATGTGTACACATATATATGTACACATACATTCACATATACAAACAGTATGTGTGTATGTGTGTATATATCTATATATCTCTATATATATATATAGCTAAATTAGTATATAACATTGAAGTAAATGTTATTTCTTGGTCAAATACCATGCCATTAAAATGTTGCCCAAATGAATTAAATTTTACCTCACTAATGAGATAGCAAATAAAATTAAACATCAAATGTACCATTGGAAAAAACTATGTAGAGAGATGCAGAGGAAATTCAAATAGTTTTTTAAACCATTTCAACAATCTTGACGCTGTTTTCTAAATGCTAAAAGATATTACTCTTTTATAAATATGGTTCTTTATAATATCCAAAGCAGGGAAGTACACAAGTTAACTACAGGAATGGAGTAATTTCCAGCATCCTGAGCATTGTTTGAATTGCCACTCGATGTAGATATCTCATCTTGAAAAAAATTTGGTTAGATAGAACTCCTATTAGAGTCTGTACGTAATAAACAAATGCTGTTGAGCAAAAATAAATTTATAGGTAAAAGATGGTAGCAATTGAAATAATTTTATAAAATAACGTTTTGAAATACAATATTTTTGCTACTTCTATTTTCTCTCAATAAACAATATAGTACAGTACATTAAATTATAGTATTATAGTTCCTTTGTTACCTTTTCAATTTATTTAAAGAGACAAATGGCAGAAGTAAAATCACCAAAGCAGCCTCTCCTTTCCTTCTGCCACATAGTTTTCCTTTGCTTTCTATTTAGATCCTTAACAGAGTTTTTCTACAATATAGAAATTTTTCATCACAGCCTATGAAAAACCTACCCTTTGGGGGACATTTCACAACTCACCACAGGTTTTTTTGTTTCTTTTCCTTTCTTTTTTTTTAAAAGAGTTTTGAAATACTGCCAATTATTAAATCATGTTTACAACGAGTATAGACTGAACATATACTGCAAGATTTTGAAGTCTCATAAAAATTAAAGTCAATTAGTAACCCCAATAATTGCACACTGACCTTTCAAATACAATAAATTTATATTTGGCTTGCCCATAAAAAATGGAATAATACTCCCTACAGACCTCACAGTAGTAGTAATGATGAAGTACTTGTTGTAATTATGACAAAAGACAAGGAATAGAAATTAGAAAAAGATTCCATTTTTCTTGAAAAGAAATGCTGTATTAGTCCATTTTCACACTGCTATAAAGTCATACCTGAGACTGGCTAATTTATAAAGAAAAGGGGTTTAATTGACTCACAGTTCCACATGGCTAGGGAGGCCTCATGAAACTTACAATCATGGCAGAAGGGAAGAGGCACATCTTACCTGGTGGCAGGTAAAAGAGAAGTGAGCAGGGGAAATGCCAGATGCTTATAAAAGCATCAGATCTTGTGGGAGCTCACTGGTTCACAAGAGAAGAGCATGGGGGAAACCACCCCAATGATCTAATCACCTCCCACCTAGTCCCTATCCTGACACATATTACAATTTGAGATGAGATTTGGGTGGAGACACAGAGCCAAACCATATCAAATTCCAATGATGTACCACACCTTGCCAATAAGTACATGTGTTGGAGAAGAATATGTTACAGTAAATAAATAAATAAATAAATAAATAAATAAATAAAAATAAACTTTTCCTTTCATTGTCACACAAATCCGGATGCACCTAAACTTGGCAAGGAAATAAATAAATTTTGGAATACAAGATGAAGCACATATACTAGTTAATTTTTAGTGTTCTAAATAATCTCAAAATACTATGTGTATCAATTTCTTATTGTTGCTGTAACATGTTACCACAAGCTTTGTGGCTAAACACACCACAAATTTATTATCTTAACAATTCTAGAGGTCAGAAGTCTTAAAATCAAGGTGTTGGCAGGACCATGTTCTTCATGAAGACTCCAGGAAATAATCCATTTTCGTACCTTTTCCATCTTCTACAGACCACCCACATTCCTTAGCTTGTGGCCTCTTCCTCCATGTTTAAAGCATGTAATGTAACATCTTCTTACCTCTGTGACCTCTGCTACTCTGCTAGTCCCTGTTGTGTTGCTATAAAGGAGTAGCTGAGGCTGGGTAATTATAAAGTAAGAGGTTTATACGGCTTATAGTTCTGCAGGCTGTACAAGAAGCATGGCACTAGCATCTGCTTCTGCTGAGGGCTTCAGGAAACTTCCACTCATGTCAGAGGGGAAAGGGAAAGCAGATGTATCTCATGGTGAGAGAGGAAGCAAGACAGAAGGGAGCAGGAGAGAAGGCGGATATGTCATCCTCTTTTAAACAACCCAATCTCACCTGAACTCAGAGTGAGCACTCACTCATTATCATGAGGACAGTATCAAGCCATTAAGGAGGACTTCACTTCCATGAACCAAACATCTCCCACTAGGCCATCCTCCAATACTGGAGGTCACATTGCAACGAGATTTGGAGGGGACAAACATCCAAACCGTATCAGCCTTCATCTCATATTTTTGTTGACTCTGACTCTTTACTCCCCTCTTGTAAAGATCCTTATGATTGTAATTATGTTGGGCCTACTCAGATAATCTGAAATAATCTCCCATCTCAAGATCCTTAATCATACCTGCAAAACCATGTAAGGTGGCATTTTCACAGGTTCGAGGGATTAGGACATGAATATTTTGGGAGGGGGGCATTATTCAGCCTACCACACTATGTGAGAAAATATGATATTGAAATTTAACTAAGAATGAAATTTCTTAATTTTCCAGTGTGTTTTCTCTATCAATATTCTAAATGTTTTCAGCATCTGCTATTGAAGCCTGTGGAAGTCTGGGTTTGCAGTTTGGGAAAATTCAGCCCATTTAATTTGTTTAAATAAAGGAACTCTTTGAGCAAACATTATTTGCTGCTATTAGAAGGTATATTATCTTCAGATCAAGAGCATGCAATTTATTACACTAAGGGCAAATAATCTCAACTCTCAAAGTCAATTTTCTTTAAATTTATGTTATTAAAGTGTGAGCTGATGCTTACCTGTACATCTGGCTTCTGCTGTGATTATTAGTCTTTTTCTTCCTCTGACTGAACTATTGTGTATAAAACTCAACTCCCTCAATCAATTTCTGCCCTAGTTCCACTCACAGCAAGTATTTCAAAATTAGAGTTGTAACCAAGAAGGCCCAACACCCACCTCAAGGCCTGAGATATTCAGTGTCCCTCAAATTCTTGTATTTTTATTCTCATCTGATGTCTCCCCATGTATTCACAGAAGCACCAAAAATCTCTCTTGCTGTTCTGCAAAACACAGCTATTTTTTTTCATCAAATCTAGCAGAAATTAGCAAAGATTTTTCTTTAATTCCAAACAATTTGACAAATTAAATAATTTTTTCTCTACCACATTTTGCCTAATACATTCAATTTATTTAGCCACGAGTGAAGCAGATGAGAAAACCATAAAATACTCACTGCTTACTTCTTCCACATAGATGGAATAGGTTGCTAAAAGTAGTGAAAACTAGCAAAGTGTTAATGACTGAGACATATGTAGTCAGACTTTAAGTCTTTGCTCATTAGTATTAGTGACTGGGTATTAAAATAACTAGTTGTTGCAGAGTTTTACAGATATGAGATTTCAGTTGTGAACTATAATGGAAGAAATAGATCATCATTAAATAATTTTCACACTATTAAATATTTAATGATGTCAGTGACAATTGGACAATCCTTTAAAGATTTTTAATTATAATAATTAAGTATCTTCTTTAACTATCCTACATAATTGTTGAAATAATCAGAATACTAATATAGTTTTTTTATTTTCAAAAAGTACATTACAATCATCTTCCTTGACAAATATTAAATGTTTGTTACCAATACGCTTTGGAATAAAAATATACCTATAAATACAATAAAATGTCTTTGGTTTCCATTTCAATTAATTTTATATTATTATTTAATATTTCAATTATAGTCATGGTAGCTAAACTAATGCAAAATGGTTTATGCATTTCACTTCAAGAAATAATGAAATCCTTCCAGAATTTTGAAGTACGTAAATATTTTGGCACACATGATGATTGGCTATCCCAAATCATCCGCATCCAAATTCTCCTTTGATTTCCTCTTATTATAATGATGACAGATGCTTAAATATTTACCTTCTCCTACTCTTGCAGGTGGGACAGTCAAGGCTCCAGTTCTAAAAAATGAGCCATAAGCAGAAACTGCAAGAAAAGGGTCCTGAGAACTTAATTCAATGTGCTAACACCGGGTTTCCTACATCTGTCTTTTTCTTGTGTGAGACACATAAAGCCGTTATTTATTTAAGCTGACAGTTTAAGTTTACTTTGCTTGCATCTGAATAAAATCCTGATATTGGTTTTATTTACTCTTTTATGTCAATTCTTCCAAAATTCTATATGTGTCTGTGTGATGTATGTCTATATGTGTGTCCACACATATTTACACACATACAGGTAATCACTAGAGAAAATACATTGCAAAGAAACCAAAAATCTTTTGCATTTATAATTTCTTTGTGATAACTTTCTAAAAAGAAAGCTACAGAGAGATGAGAGATGTTATATGTAAAACCATAAAAATAAATAAATGCCATTCAAATAAGTCATCTATAAGGATGACATTCCTGTGTTTTCCTCAAGTTCACTTCTGTGTACCCTTACCCACTTCATTCAAAGCCCTAGTGCTCTTATGAAATCTAAAACATTGTCCAGAACAAAAGTGGTTGCTCTATGAGCATGCTCTATGTTTTTGAGTTCAGTATGCATGGGACATTCAGAAGTATAAATTGAGTTTAACAACATTTAATAAATGATTTTATTTTCATTTTATCTGTACCTGTATATAACACTAAACTTATTTCATAGCCATTTTTGCTTATCTGGGCCATTTAATAATAAATATCTGGAAAATATATTTGATAATCCTCCTGTAGTAATTACTAAGGTAATTGGCTTTTGAATCTTTAGAAAACTCTATATTTGAACAATAATAATTTAATAATATCTAGAAAGTATACTTGATAATCCTACTGCAGTAATTAGTAAGGTAATTGGCTTTTGAATCTTTAGAAAACTCTATATTTGAACCTAAATGGCATCCTGAAATAAAGTGTGCCTTCTATTACTGGGTGTTTTAAAATCTTTGACCACTACTGTTTCCTTCAGAACTTCTTTATTTCTTAGTAAACTCACAAATATTATTTCGACTACAACAGTTCAACTCTATCACATCG
This sequence comes from Homo sapiens, assembly GCF_000001405.40. Classification (NCBI taxonomy): domain Eukaryota; kingdom Metazoa; phylum Chordata; class Mammalia; order Primates; family Hominidae; genus Homo; species Homo sapiens. The sequence goes on along the minus strand of NC_000005.10, from coordinate 84,754,587 downwards.
AATTTAACTAATCCGAATGTCACCATTACATTGTAGTTCATCATTTCACTGAGGTTCTTCTACTATGTGTTTAAAACCCTGTTAAATATTTTACCTGGAATTTGTTTTAATTCTTAAAATTACCCAGATAAATTGCTAAGAGATTTTAAGCAATTTGTCAGATCTCTCGTGACGATTAAGGGACCAATATATAATTTTAGTGAGATCTGACTATAGAAGCAACTTTATAAAACTCTACACCATAACAGCTCTATCTTGCAAAAAGTGCTTTCCCCTTTTCATAGGAATTCACACATTTTACCATTGCTATATTTCACAGGGTCTATGCTCTACTTTTTCAATGATTCTATAAAAACAGCTTCAGTGCTTTGGAGAAATATTGAACTCTTCTTCCCTAAAATTTCTCATCCAATTTGAAGTTTTACAAAAGAGGGTGCTTCGATAACTCTCTCTTTGACATAAGCTATTCTTCATTGCTGTTCTGATGCTGAAATAGGCTTGTCAAACTCTGTCTACCAATTGAAGTCATTTGTGGCAACAGAGAGGTACACATTAAAATAAATTAAAGTATGATAGCTATAGTAACTTTAAAACTCTGCTAACATGCTTTTTAAGTTTTAGAGTTTGGCATTTCATAACCATATAGTGTTCTTTCAGAAATCTTGTCAATTTTTGCTCCTCTCCTGGTTTCATCTTATCTACAAATTAAATTATTGACAGGTTTTTATATAAAGTTTCTTGAACTATTTCATATTTTCACAGTGTTGGCAGTGATTATGCTGAGCCTACAGAAAGCAAATGTAAAGGACTTGGAATTCAGAGGCTCTTATTTATCATTCAAAAAGGCAAGATCCACTTTTGCTTCTAATTCTTTATGTTTTATGGGAAAATAGCTGTGAATTCTGGTAGTTTTTAAATCACTTAATAGTTCCAAGCATGTCTTTATAATTTTCCGGAAACAAAGCCAACTAAGTTATTTTCTTGTAATTTTGAATTATAACATTCTTAAGACTTAGACAAGTAGTTTCAAGAATGCTGAATAAGAATTACATAAATTAAGCATAGGCAGAAAAATATTCATTTAGGCATATGTATTTTTGAAATTTTCAAGTTTATCACCAATACATAGATGTACACATATACAATGTACATATGCATATACATATATGTGAATATGTGTGTATCTATGTATACAAACACATAGACACAAACACATGCACACGCTGAAGGATAAGGTAAGGCAAAGAATTCTACATATTTTGCATCAGTACCTGATCCATAGAACAAGTCATTAATCTGTCTGTCTACTTCACCCATCTTCATTTTTCATACAACATGTATAGACTGCTTAAAATATGTACTTTACATTTCAATCCTCAACCAATTTCAAACCACCCTCTCACACATATAGGTGTTAAAAAATCCCTACACACTATAAGGCACTATTTTATAGTGCCATCGAGCACAAATTCTAGAGGGAGGCCACCTAAGTTTGAAATCACGTTTGTTGTTTACTGATTGCATAACATATGGCAAGTTACTTACACACACCTAGCTCAGTTTCTGCATCTGTAAAACAGAAATAGAAACACATACTACTCCTTTCAAAGGTCACAATCTGAATGGTGTGCCCTTTACTTCCACCCATTGGTCAGAATTTAATCATATGGGCACAGCTCACCACAAGAACTGGCAAGCAAATGTGTTCTTTTTTTTTTTTGAGTCATATATGCCTCAAAATAAAATAAAGAAACAATTAATGCTAGATGATAAACATAAGTCTATTTTTCTCAATGCAGTAGCAGAAAATTAGTATTTTAAGGTATTAGCCAGATCTTGCCATTCTTTTATTCATAACTTTGGAATAATATTAATATTATTATATTAATATTATATATATATTATATATATATAATATATATAATATTATAAAGTATAATAATATTAATACACACATATTCATTTATTATGAAGTTCACTAATCTAAAAGTCTTGTAACACAGTTTACAAACAATAATAAAACATGCATTCTTCCTTTTCTTTTTTTTAGAGACTGAGTCTCGCTCAGTTGCCCCGGCCTGAGTGCAGTGGCACCATCATGGTTCACTGCAACCTGAGTCTCCCAGGCTCAAGCTATCCTCCCACATCAGTCTCCTGAGTAGCTGGAACTACAGCCACACACCATCATGCCCGGCTAATTTTTTAATTTTTTTTGTAGAGATGGGAGTGTTCCTATGTTGCCCCCAGGCTGGTCAAAAACTTCTGGACTCAAGCAATCCTCCTCCTTAAGCCTCCCAAAGTGCTAGGATTACAGTGGTGATCCATGCCCAGCCCACATTATTCTTTATTGAAAATTCCATAACTTTATAACTTCAGATTGAATTGCTATTTCTCCCAAATTCCTCTGTTTAATATTTATATTACAAACAGTAATGTCTCAAATTCAGGCTAAGAATAAATGTTTAATCACTATCCAACTCAACTTACTAGCCTCTCATCTCATTGACAAACAAGTGCATTTTTGACAAGAATGCTGGTTGGTATTTTTGTCTATGTTAATGACAAGACAAAAGTAAAACCATGAAAACATGTCAGAACTTCTCTTATTAGTCAATGATGTGAGTTCCTTCTTTGATACGTCAGTAACCCTTTTTGAATGCTAGTAGAAAATTTCCTCATTTTTTGTGTTATCTTCAATGCAGCTATAGTTCTAGCTGCATTACTGTTTTCTCCATCATTTTATCCATCACTTTCTTAAACCAAGAGACAATTAAGAAAGCAATAAATCAGTAACTGATTCGCAGCATTTGACAATTTGCATGCTTTAAACAGTCTTGCAATGGCCAGTTATATACCACCAACATGACATCTCTGAATGGAATGTTGAGATGTGAAGTAACACAATTATGTAATATGTAGTACAGGATTTTTTTTTTTTTTTTTTTTTTTTGAGATGGAGTCTGGTTCTGTCACCCAGGCTAGAGTGCAGTGGCACAATCTCGGCTCACTGCAGCCTCCACCTCCTGGGTTAAAGCAATTCTCCTGCCTCAGCCTCCCGAGTAGCCGGGACTACAGGTGCGCACCGCCACACTTGGCTAATTTTTGTATTTTTTCAGTAGAGACGGAGTTTCACCATCTTGGCCAGGATGGTCTTGATCTCCTGACATCATGATCTGCCCACCTCAGCCTCCCAAAGTGCTGGGATTACAGGCGAGAGCCACCATGCTCAGCCCTTGTAGTACAGGATTTTTACCATATTGACAAAATAAATGTATATAACGTCAAGACCATATGTGATAGTAAAATATAGTTAAATAATTAGGAAAAATGAGTTTTAAATATTTTCCTTGTTTTTTCTATAATTTGCTTAATTGTAAGTTTATATAATTAAATTTTTAAAATGGAAACATGGAAATGATTATAAAATTTCCAAGTCACCCCATTTTTATTTCATACTTCAATCAATCATTCTCTATATAAGGCAAGGGACAATAACTCTCAGTTTTAGAATCAATACTGGGAAATGTGCAAAATAAACTTTACATTTCGAAAGAGTATGTGACAGGAGTAATATGGTATCTATTTTCCAGTCATCTCTTCAGTATTGTGTCAGTGCCAAGTGAAGTTGCCTTTCAACATCAAACATCCATTAGATTTGATGACTAGTATTATGATTATCTTACACCTCCCAACATCAAGTAAATATATTGTAGAGAATGTAAGCAAACACAAGTGGCTGAAAATTTCAAATTTATTTCTCAGAAAAGATCATGTTTAGAGATCAAACTCATACATGAACATTTATTCGTTTTTAAAGGATGATATTTCTTACATTGGCTTTATTGGCCTATAAGTCTTGTAAATCAGATGAGACATTCGTCTTTTGTTTTAGCCATAATCAGAGTCTCACATTTTTCACTCTTCTACCTCATAAACTCCAGCAGATTGGGTTATAAATACTAAACTAGTGGGATCTGCTGCCAAATACTGGCGTCTCTGCCCTCACTTTTCAATTGTTATTTTTTTTTTCAGAGGACTTCTATCTTACTCCTATTCCTGTCCTTTCATACCATAGCCTGCAGGCAAAGTTTCCCAGCAGTCACTAACACCGACAGTTTCTTCATCATTTCCACAGTGGTGCAGATCAAATACAAGAGTCATGCAAATCTTGCAACAATCAGAAAATACAAGGACTCGATAGAAGTGTAAGTATTTCCATTGCAAGAGTCTGAACTTGGAAAAGGTCACACATGTTGGACTTACAACCTATAGAAATGTAAGAAAAGAAAATTGTGTGTGTTTGAATGATGCTTTATATTTTTTAATTTTTAATTGTAGTAAAATATACTTAACATCAATTTACTATCTTACCAATTTTTTTATTTTATTTTTATTTTTTTGAGACAGGGTCTTGCTCTGTCACCCAGGCTGGAGTGCAGTAGCAAGATAATGGCTCACTGTGGCCTTGACCTCCTGGTCAAGTGGCCTTCCCACCCCAGCCTCCTGAGTGACTAAGAATACAAGCATGTGCCACTTTGGTCAGCTAATGGTTTCTAGTTTTTGCTAAGACAGGGTCTCACTATGTTGCCCAGATTGGTCTCAAAGCCTGAGCCATTCTTGTACCTTGAGTCACATATAAAAATGTAGAAAAAAATAGAAAAAAGTTACTGAAATTTCTAACTACAAAAAAAAAGAATATATTTAGCCCGAATATCAATGAACTCCAAAAACAGGAAAAAGGGGCCACTATGTTAGAACTAGTTATTTTTAACCCTGTTCACATCTGAAAATTTAACAAATAAATGTGTGTTTGTGTATGTGTGTGTGTGTGCATGAGCATGTGTGTATCTTCCTGTGCTACCATTTAAAATTAAACTAATCATCACTCTGGACAGAAAAAAAAATAAAACTATCTATGATCCAGCAATTTCACTATTGGGTATACACTCAAAGGATATAAAATCAATATGTCAAAGATATATCTGCACTCCTATGATTATCATAGCACAATTCACGATAGCCAAGTTATGAAATCAACCCAAATGCTCACAAACAGATAAATGGATAAAAAAAATGTAGTATGGAAATTCTGTCACTGACAACAACATGTGTGAACCTGGAATATATTAAGTGAAATAAGCCAGACACAGGAAGACAAATATCCCTGGATCTCACATATATTCAATCTAAAAAGTGAAACTTGTGGAAGGAGAGAGTAGAATGGAGCTTACCAGGGGCTCAAGGGAGTTGCTGGGGGTATCAGGGTGACATTGGACAAAGGGTAAAAAAAATTCAGTTAAGAAGAATAAGCTTAAGAGATCTATTCTACATATGGTGACTGTAATGAGTAACAATGTATAGTATACTTAAAACTTCCTGAAAGAATAGATTTCAAATGTCACCACAACAAAAAAATAAGTATGTGAAGTAATGCACATGTTAATAGCTTGATTTAGACATTTCACAATTTACATAGATTTCAAAACGTGTAATACAGCATAAATATATACATTTTTATTGGTCAATTATAAAAATAATTTTTTAAAGTATGTGTTATTCGCTCACATATATAACTTGTAGTGTACTGTTGCATTTCTTAGTCATGTTAATATATAATTATTTTTAAAAAATAATATGGAAAAATAATTGAATTTTCTGCTTAGCATATACTAGACAAGACAGAAAGACGAAACCTGTTGCCTAATGATGCCAAATAAAGCATGCCTTCTACCAGGACTATATTATGATCTATTAGAGGATTCTAAAACTTAGCTTGAATTTTTTAAGTGTTTTTGATTGTGATTTAAATTTTCCCTTTACCTTGCTGTGAAAATAATATAGCAAATGAAACCCAAAGACATGTATCAGCCCATGATCCAAGACAAAGATGTTACAATTATCTTGGAAAATAAATTGAGACATAGTGGTTAGGCTTTTTAATAACTATTTTAGTTGGATCTTGAAATATCTTTAATAGCTTCGCTTAGGCATGGGCAGAAATGGTCTTCAGATTAATGATGTTCCTGATGTTCCTTGATGTTTCTTATTCCTTGAATTAATGAGATGGAACAAACTGCTGCAGTCAGCAACAAAAGTAAATATTGTACATCAATTCAAGGGGAAACAACAAGTTTTCTATAAGGAAGAAATGCAGCAAAGTTATTGCAACTATGTTTTGTTCTGATGTTCATTTGGAGGCCCAGAAAATAGGATAACCATACTTTAGCTTATATTTCAGCAATCAATCATATAGTTTATTTTCTTCATCTGTATTACTTTGCATATTCTAATGGCTTTTGTTTTACCATTTGGGGACCTCATTGTTAAGTATATGCAAAATTAATAATTATTAAAGGAACACTTTCAGAGAGACATTTATCATCAAAGTTTCTATTAAGTTAAATAGTAAAGATAAAGTAGTATCTTGTGGAATCGTATTTGGTGGAAATATTTGATAAAAAATATATATTTTGTAACGTTAACCCTATCTTGAGTATTTTAAATGGAATAAATACTTCTTGGCTATATTGCTTTTGTAAAAACCTTTGATTATTTAATAGAGAAAAGAAAATCATGAGCACCATGAAACAAAAGTTATTTTCACTGCATATTATTGGTGATAGAAACTTAGAAATTCATTTTCTTTGTGCTACATTTCACAAAAATGTTTTTGCTCTCCTAAGATATCTATATTTAAATATAGATAGGCATCATTTCTTATGCATCTATTATAGCCATCCTTTCTTATGCATCTATTATAAGAATAAATATCTATTCTAAGAATAAGAATGTTTTAAAAATAATGATAGTAGCTGTGAAAGACAAGTAGTATAATTAATAGTTTAAAATGTACTTTGGTATAAATTGGAATTAATTTAATTTTAACATCACAAGCAGAATATTATATTGCAGCTCTGCATCATTAGTATAATTTTAATAATATGTACTAGAGTATACTACATATAGCAAATCTGGTGGCTGATCAGCAAATTGTTTCTGATTTCATCCTGGGTACCACAGACTACATTTTCAGGACCCCTTACAGGTGTAACCATGTGACTGAGTGCTGGCCAGTGAAACACCAATGGACATGATGTATACCATATCTACAGCTAATACACAAAATGATTATGCAATCCTCCAAACTTAATTTCAGCTGCAAGATAGAAGATTTAACTGAAGACTCCTGGAGTCTAGTGTTAGACAGAGTTGCTTGATAGAAACCTATACTCCAGAATGACTAGATGGAGCAGAACCACCACCCATGCCCTGCCCTGTTAATTTGCACTGGTCAGTGAAGTAGACACAAAGTTTAGTTGTGATAAACCATGGAGATTTTGTGATCATAACTGCACTAAAGTTAGGTATGCTAACAAACACAGTGAGAAATGTACGTAGGATTCTAATCAGGAAAATAAGCATACAGGATTCAAGGTCACATTCCTCTTAACTCACTGGCCCTGTGAGGCAATTGCTCCTATCTGAATTCCTTCCACACAAAGTTCTCCTCTTTTCCAATAGTAATGTATACCCTATGTTAAAGCCTTAGTATTTGGCACATAGCAAAATTCTACATTTCCTATTCCTAGTATTCCTTGGAGCTGGCTGTGAGTCTAAGTGTCTACAGATGATCTGGAGCAGAAAATACAGGTATAATCTGCAGGTATTCTTAAAAACCTTTCTTGCTTTTCATCTTTGTATAGGCTGAGTCTTGGACTTGGCAACATACCAGCTTTTACCACACAGATTAAGAAATAACATCCTGGCTAGGTGTGGTGGCTCACGCTTATAATCCCAGCACTTTGGAAGGCCAAGGTGGGTGGATTACAAGGTCAGGAGTTTGAGACCAGCTTGGCCAACATGGTGAAACCTAATCTCTACTAAAAATACAAAAATTAGCTGGGTGTGGTGGCATGCGCCTGTAATCCCAGCTACTCAGGAGGCTGAGGCAGGAGAATCGCTTGAGTATGGGAAGTGGAAGTTGCAGTGAGCCAAGATCACACCACTGCACTCCAGCCTGGGCAATAGGGCAAGACTCCATCACCAAAAATAAATAAATAAATAAATAAATAAATAAATAAATAAATAAATAAATAAATAAATAAAATAACATCCTAGTTAATAGCTTAGCAGTCAAATGGCTGAATTTTTTTTTTTTTGTCCCTAAATGACAATGTGGTCTAGACCACATGAGAGGGAAACAAATTGCTGTCTTACTAATGCTGCAGTATATTTTGGCCTCATCAGTATGGCAACTGAACATCTATCCTAACAAATAAATACATCTTATATATAAAGATAGTTTACCTCATTTGTTCAACTCTGAATTTGGATGAGCAAGTTCCAGAAATGCCTCCTGAGTTTCTAGTATTATCAATTTCTCTTAAACCCTGTTGTCCGCTGCCTTGGGTTGACTAATTTTTCTGATTAGTCTCCTTAATATATTGAAAAGAAAAACCACCATGTTCTCTTGCACATTCCAGAATAGATAATATTTTGTCCATACCTGCCTTTTTTCCTCTCTTCTTCTGAATAATTGTCCCCTATGACATTTACCTCTTTTCTGCTTATAAACTTCTTAAAAATATATGCCTTTTAGCTGTTGTAAGAAAAATTATTTCCTTCATTGGTATAGTATAATAGTCCATGAACACTATAGGATAGAAAAGGGAACAATTGGGGAATTGCTTAATTTTTTAAAAAAATTTCATGTAAATAAGATATAAAGGAAAAAAACACTAATTTTGTTGATATAGGCACTTTACAGAAAAGAGATGACCAGAATGTAAAAAAGTTCCTGAAGATAAAGAGTATATCTACTCTCCCCTGTCTATTTAACTCATCTAGGAAATATTCATTGGTTAAATTATTACTAAGCTTATGTGTCATTATACAATCACTTATAATTTGCTTTCTGTGTCTGTGGTAACAATGACTTTTGCTGTGAATAGTTCAGATCACTTCTAATTTTAAAAATACCTTAATTGATTTCTTACTATATTCCCTCAAGAAAAGCTTCTAATTACTACTGGTGTCATTTTTGTTCCTTCTTTGATGTTTAACTTTGATAATTGAGAAAAGACAAGCTCCACTGAAATCATTAAATAACAACGATCTTCTACTTTTCTAGATAATTTAGATTGAAGGCTGCATTTTAAAAGACACCATTGTATGTTATCACTGTTGACCTTCAAGTCAGAATACCTGAGCTCATATCTGAGACTGTCACAAATCTGCTTTTTAAAATTATGTTTCATAGCACCAAACTCTTTAAAATGAAGGCACTAGACAAGATGATACTTCTTTTTAATTAGTTGTTGAATGTATACAAGAGAATAATTCTAAAATACATTTGAGGGTCAATACAACAATGAAATAAATGTCCGTGTATGCATTCAGGTTAAAAAATTGATCAGGAAGTCCTAGCCAGAGGAATCAGACAAGAGAAAGGGATAAGAGGCATCCAAATTGGAAAAGAAGTCAAACTGTCTCTACTTGCTGATGATTTGATTATATACCTAAAAAACCCTATACACCAACAGTGTCAAAGCTGAGAATCAAATCAAGGACTCAATCTCTTTTACAAAAGTTACAAGAAAAAGCAAAGAGACAAACAAACAAACAAACAAACAAACAAAAATATACTTAACCAAGGAGGTGAAAGATCTCTACAAGAACTACCAAACACTGCTGAAAGAAATCACAGATGATGCAAAAGAATGAAAATATATCCCATACCCATGGATTGGAAGAATCAATATCATGAAAAAGACCATATGTCTGAAATTATCTACAGATTCTATGCAATTTTTATCAAAATGCCAAAAGCATTTTTCACTGAATTAGAATAAATAATCCTAAAATTTATATGGAAACAACAAAGAGCCCAAATAGCCAAAATAATTCTAAGGAAAAAAAATCTGGAGGCATCATATTACCGGACTTCAAATTATGTTACAATCATATAGTTACCAAAACAGCATGGTACTGGTATAAAAGTAGATATATAGACCAATGGAACAGGACAGAGAATCTAGAAATAAAGTCAAATACTTACAACCAACTGATCTTCAACAAAGCATACAAAAACACAAATTGGGGAAAGGACACCCGATTAAATAAATGGTGCTGGGTAAACTGGATAGCCATATGTAGAAGAATGAAGCTGGATCACCACCTCTCACTGTATACAAAAATCAACTCAAGATAGAACAAAGACTTAAATCCAAGATCTAAACCCACAAAAACATCAGAACACCTAGGAAAACTCTTCTGAACCATTGATCTAGGCAAAGAATTTATGACTAAGACCCCAAAAACAAATGCAACAAAAATAGAAATAAATAATTGGGACTTAATTGAACTAAAAAGTTTCTACACAGCAAAAGAAGTCATCATCAGAGTAAACAAAAACCCCACAAAATGGGAGAAAAATATTTGCAAACTAACAAATGCTGGCAAGGATGTGGAGAAAGGGAACACTACCACACTGTTGGTGGGAATGTAATTTAGTACAACCACTATGGAGAACAATTTGGAAGTTTCTCCAAAAATTAAAAACAGAACTATCATATGATCTGAGTATCCCACTGCTGGGTACATTCCTAAAAGAGAGAAAATCAATATGCCCAAGAGTTATATGCATTTCCTTGTTTGTTGCAGCTCTGCTCACAATAGCCAAGATTTGGGAGCAACCTAAGTGTTCATCAACAGAGAATTGGATAAAGAAAGTGTGGTACTTATATACAATGGTGTACTATTCACCCATAAATAAAGAATAAAATTCAGTCATTTGCAACAACATGGATGGAATAGGAGGTCGCTATGTTAAGTGAAATAAGCCAGGCACAGAAACACAAACATCATGCATTCTCACATATTTGTGGGACTTAAATCAAAATAATCAAACCTATGGAGAGTGAGAGTAGAAGGATGGTTACCAGATGCTAGGAAAGGTAGTGGGGGCTGGGGAGGGAAGGAGGCAGAGATGATTAATGGGTAAAAAAGATAGAATGAATGAATGAGGTCTAGTATTTGATAGAACAGGGTGACTTTAGTTGATAATATTTTAATTGTACATTTTAAAATAACTAAAAGTATAATTGGATTGCTTGTAACACAAAAGATAAATCCTTGCAGGGATAGATACCCCATCTTCCATGATGTGATTATTACGCGTTGCATGCCTGTATCAAAACATCTCATGTACCCCATAAATATATGCATGTACTATGTACCCACAAAAATTAAAAAATTAAAAACAGAAAGAAAATATTTGTAAACTGTACATCCACAAAGGACTACTATCCAGGATCTACAAGGAACTCAAACAAATCAGCAAGAGAAAAACAAAAATCTCATCAGAAATGGGCAAATGACACGAATAGACATTTCTCAAAAGAAGATAAATAAATGACCAACAAACATATGAAAATGCTCAACATCACTAATCATCAGGGTAAATCAAATTAAAACCACAGTAAGATACCACCTTACTCCAGCCAGATTCGTCCCTGATTGAAGGTTAAAAAACAATAGATGTTGGCATGGATATGGTAAAAAGAGAATTCTTATACACTGCTGTTGGGAATATAAATTAGTACAATCTCTACGGAAAAAGTATGGAGATTTCTTAAAGAACTAAAAATATGTCTACCATTCTATCCAGCAATCTCATTACTGCATTGTATACCCAAAGAAAAATATGTCATTATATAAAAAAAGACAACTGTATGTGAATGTTTATCACAGCACAATTCACAATTGCAAAGATATGGGACGCACCTAAGCACCCATCAACTGATGAGTGGATAAAGAAAATGTGGTATAGTGTGTCATGGAATACTACTCAGACATAAAAAAGAATTAAATAATGTATTTTGCAGCATCTTGGATGTAGTTGGAGGCCATTATTCCAAGTGAAATAACTCAGAAATGGAAAAACAAATACTGTGTGTTCTTATCTGTAAATGGGAGTTAAGCTATGAATATGCAAAGACATACAGAGTGATGTAATGGACTTTGGAGACTCAAAAGTGGGGAGGGTGGGAAGGGGATGAGGGATGAAAACTACTTATTGAGTACAACATTCGCTATTCAGATGATGGGTGCACTAAAATCTCAGACTTCACCATTACACAATTTATCCATGTAACCAAAAACCACTTGTACCCCAAAAGCTATTGAAATTAAAAAAAAAAACACACCACGTGCCCCCAAACACACACCCACACACACGTGTACATATATATGTAATAAGTCATAACCATTATCTTTGTAGTCCCTATTGACACACCTCAATCCATTGCCTCTCTGACTTTTGAGAAAATGACTATACTGAATTTTACATATTATTGGCATTCATTTCTATATAATTTTATCATATATCTTAGCAACTTGTACAGTGAAACAATTTTAGCCTTTAAGAAATTATAATTGTCAGTCTAATTGTATATCTATCTAGATCCATATCTATATCTAATCTAGAAAGATCTCTTAAATTTTTGACACTTTTAGGATTTTTCTGTAGTGGTCATATTCCCTGCATATGAATTCTTTTCTATTTAATGACTTGGGATTCACTGGGATTTCTGAATTGGAGGATTACTGTCTTTCATCTATTAGTTCTGGAAACTTCTCTGATAATACTTCTTTCCTATTTTCTTTCTCCTCTTCTTTTCATAGTATCCTCCATAGTTCCTAATCTCTTTTGCATGGTTTCTGTGCCTATCTTACTCTGCACTGCATTCGAGATAGATTCCTCAGGATCTTTTTTCCCATATTTTAGTTTTATTGCAGCTATGCCTAAACTTATAATTACATCATCATTTTTATTTTTTGAAATTCTGTTTTGCCCAAATTTACCTAGGTATTTTCTATAGTTTCTTCATTTCTGACATTTACTCATACTGGAAATTCCCAGTTTTATTCAAGTACCTAAATTGTTTTTAATGTGAAATGTACTACGCATGTAGAAAAGTTTATAAAATGTAAATGTAGAAATTGATAAGTCATCCCAGAGTGAGACTTGTATGATTTTCACCGAGGTCAAAAAATAGAACATTTTCAGCACTCCTCTCCTCAAATCCTTTCCAAATCATGACGTCCTCTGTATCCTGTAAATACAATTACTATCCTGAACTTTATGGCAACCACTTAGTTATTTTCTGTTTTCTACACTTATACACACACTTATCACGTATCAAAATTAATGCTGTTGATTTTTGACACTAAATAAATAGAATCCTTTGACTTTATTCTCTTTCCTTAAAAAAATGTGTTGTAAATACTGGTGAGAATATGGAGAAAGGGGAACTCTTACACAACAGTAGTGGGAATGTAAATTAGTACAGTCATTATGGAAAGGAGTATTGAGGTTCCTCAAAAAATTAAAAATAGAACTACTATTAAATACATAATCCAGCAATCTCATTACAGGGTATATACCCAAAAGTATTGAAATCAGTATATCAAAGAGATATGCTTGTCACAGCATTACTCACAATAGCCAAGATATAGAATCAACCTAAATGTCTACCAACAGATGCATGTATAAAGAAAATGTGGTATATCTACACAATGAAATATTTCCATTTATTAGCTATCAAAATACAATCAATCCTGTTATTTAGGGTAACATGGATGCACTTAGAGGACATTATGTTAAATAAAATAAACAACAGAAAAAGATGAATACTACATAAACTCATTCATATGCGGCATCATATGTGAATTCATATTTGGAAAGTTGATCTCATAAAAGTAGAGAAAGCATAGTGGTTACCAGAGGCCAGTGGTTCGAATAGGGAGATGTTGATCAACAAGTACAAAGGTATAGTTAGATAGAAATAAGTTTTTGGGTTTTATTATGTAGTAGAGTAAACACAACTAATAACAATGTATTGTATATTTCAATATAGCTAGAGAAGAGGATATGGAAAGTTATCACCACAAAGAAATGCTTAAGGTTTAACCTTTAACTTGGTGGACATGCTGACTACCCTGATGTGATCATTATGCAATATGCATATGTATTGAAACATCACACTGTAGCATACTGTGTCCATTACAAAGTACAATTTTTTAAAATGTGTTGTGACATTCATTCACCTTGTTGTGTTTGGTAGAAATATTTTCATTTTTATTATAGTATTAGATGGTGAAAATACCATAGTTTATGAATATATCTGATTCTCTGTTGACCATTATTTTGTTTCCTGTTTGGGGTATAATACAAAAATATTATGAATGTTCTTATTATGCCACTTAGAAAATATATAATAATTTCATTTTTGTTAATTTCCAGGAGTATAGTTACTTTCTCATAGGATACGTGGAACCTGATTTTTGCTAGATGATGCCAAACTATAATCCAAATTAGTTGTACTTGTATCCACTCCCATCAGCAGTATATGATTATTTCCACTGCTACACTGTCACAAACACTTAGTGCTATCAGTATTTAAGTTTACTCATCTATATAGTAGATTCTCATTTGGGTTTTATTTTGTATTTTCTAGATTATGAATAACATTGAGCAGCTATTTATGTAGTCACCAGACATTGGATTTTGTATCTATTGAACTTAATATTTAAATTTCTTTTTCATTTTGTCAAATTTGATGTTTTAATGTTTTTAAAATGTGTGTTATTAATCACATGTTTTGTATCTATCTTTTACTCTCTGGCTTGCCATTTCTCTCACTTATTGGTGTTTTTAATGAAACAAGTTTTTAGTTTTAATGTTGTTCAAATAAGCTATCTTTCTTTAAGGGTAAATACCCTTGCTCTCACATTTGAGGATTCTTTCTCTTTCATAGTTCATTACATTTTCCTCTATTATCACCTACGGATTTTATTGTTTACTCTTTCACAAATGTCTACAATGCAACTGACATTGAAATCTGGGTATACTATATGTGATAAGTCTCTTTTTTTTCCACATGAAAATACAATGTTTCTAGCGACATTTATTAAAAGAATGTTTCATCACTGTCCTGAAGTGATGACTTTGTTATAAATCAACTCTTATACATGAATGGGTCAGATTCTCTCTCATTGCCTAATTGTTCTATTCTAGTCGACTAGGCATTTCTATGTTTTCCAGCAAGTTTTGACATCCAATAGAACCAATAGTCTGACCTAGTTCTTTAAGAATCTTCACTATGATTGACTCTTTATATTTTTGTATAAGTTGTAGAATTAATTTTTGAATCTCTTCAATAAAATCTGTTGAGATTTTGATTTGTATCACATTGTATGAATAGATGAATGAGGATAATTGATATCTTTATAGTTAATGTTCACCTACTTATTTAGGTTTTCTTCTTTCCACTGTTTTATATGTCTTTGCATAGAAGTCTTGCAAAAATTTTGTTAGATTTGATTCTATACATTTGATGGCATTTGATGTAATTATAAATGGTATTTTGTTTAAAAAATTTCTAACAATTTTTATTTGTGCATGGTAACACAAATGATTGACATATTCAACTTTTTCCTGAGAAACATGCTAATCTCATTTATTCCTTTCAATAATTTGTCAGATTATTTTGATTTTTTAATATGTATAGTCGTAATATCTGCAAATAATAAATCTTGTATTTATTCCCTTCTAATACATACCCTTTATTTTTCTTGCCTGTTCTACTGATTGGTGATGCCAATTCAATGTTAAATAGAAGTGGTGAGAGAGTCAAATTGTTTTATTTCCAATTTTAAAAGAAAAGTTTTCAAGATGTTATTATTAAACATAATAGGGATATTTGTAATTTATGTAGATACACTTTATCAGATTAATGACATTATCTTGTATTCTGTTTTACAGTTTTTAAAACATCATATATGCTTATTTTTATCAAAAATAAGCCTTTCTGCAACGATTAAAATTACTAGATATTATTTCCTATATATAATGTGATGAATTATATTACATGATTTTCTAACATCATGCTGACCTTATGCTATTGAAATAAATTCAAACTTTTCATCATACATTACCCTATATATTATCTTTTCTGAATTTGATTTTGTAATATTTTAAGATCTGTATGTCCATGCTTGTTAATAGTATTAGTTTATAATCTTCCTTTCTTAAAATGTTTTCTAATAATAAACAGTTTTCTGGAATCCTTTATTAAATTTCTTTTTATTTTATTTTATTTTATTTTATTATTATTATACTGTAAGTTTTAGGGTACATGTGCACAATGTGCAGGTTAGTTACATATGTATACATGAGCCATGCTGTTGTGCTGCACCCATTAACTCGTCAATTAGCATTAGGTATATCTCCTAAAGCTATCCCTCCCCCTCCCCCCACCCCACAACAGTCCCCAGAGTGTGATGTTCCCCTTCCTGTGTCCATGTGTTCTCATTGTTCAATTCCCACTTATGAGTGAGAATATGCAGTGTTTGGTTTTTTGTTCTTGTGATAGTTTACTGAGAATGATGATTTCCAATTATTTTTAACAAATTTTCTGGAAGAGTTTGGCAAAAATTACAATTTTTAATAATACATTTTTGTTTGAATTTGCTAGTGAACCTATACAGGCTTATAGATAGCATGGTGAGATTGCTTTATTAATAACTAATTTAATTTATTTAATAGTTATAGGTACATGAAGATTTCCTATCCCTTTTTGAGCCAGTTTCATAAACTTTAACATGCCTTTGATTTGCCCATATCATGTATACTTTGTAGTTTATTCACTTAAAACTGTTGATTTGTTTGAATAATTAAAACAAAATGCTATAGAATTTGGAGCAATGTTCCTCTTGTCATTCCTAAATCCAATTATTTGTTTCTTATCCCTTTTTTGACTAGTCTTTTACTTTTATTGCATATTTGTGTTGTATTTTATTAATTCTAATTTTCATTATTTTTGTTCTTCTACATTCCTTGCATAGTCAGTATTTTTTTGTTTTCCTCAGAGAGCCCATTTGTTTTTAGTATTTATTTATGCCTAAAATATTTAATTAGAGCAATAGTGTTTCTCTAAGGATGGATTTAGTTGAGCTCAGAGGTTTGATTTGTTGTATTTTCATTATTATTTGACTCCAAGCATTTTCAAATTGCCACTGTGATAACTTTTTGATCCATGTGTTATTTAGACATATATTTCTTTATTTCTAAACTCATAGGAAATGTGTTTCTAGATTAAAGGTAATGCATTTAGAGAATATACTCTGTATAAATTCAGTATTTTAAAAATGATTGAAATATGCTAACATGTAGTCATTTCTGTGAAAAGCCCATATGTGTTTGAAAAGAGTGTGCACTCTGCTGTTGTTGGACACAGAATTCTATATACGTAAATTAATTTATTAATGATGCTGTTCAAAGTTTATATATTGTTTCTAAATATATATCTACTATTCTATCAGTAATTAAAATATTCCATTACAGTTGTGAATTTGTCTATTTTTCCATTTAGATCTATAATTTTTATATACATTTTAATACTATATTATAAATTATATAAAGATTTTAATAGCTTTAAAATCTATGGATTTAATTCTTCATCAAGATGAAGTGTCACCTTTATATGTGATGTACTTACATTCGTTTCTTGAATTCTCTCAACACAGTTTCATGGGCTTTCTTTTGGTTGGTATTTTTAAGTATATTATTTTCCATTTTCTACACTTTCTGTAAACTTCTATTTTAAATTACTTGTTTATAAGTAGTATATTGTTTGATTTCTATTTTACATACAGCTAGCAATCATTGTCTTTTCACTGATGACTTCACTTATTTATACTTAATATCATTATTATACATTAATAATGATATTAATATTGTAGATGAATTTAAATGACCATGTTATTGAGTATTTATACACAATTTCTTGAAGTTATAGTATAATTTTTAACACTTTTGTAAAGTTTTAATATGGAGTGAATTGTGTCTTCACAAAATCAATGTGTTGAAGCCCTAACACCCAATGTGACTATATTTGGAGATAGGGTCTTTAAAGAAGTAATTAAGGTTAAATGAGTGTTAAGAATGGGACCCTAATCCAATAGGACTAGAGTCCTTATAAGAAAAGGAAAAGGAATCATGTATGCACACACCCAGAGAAAGGGCTACCTGAGGACACAGCAAGAAGGTAGCTGTGTGCAAGCTAAGGACAGAGACCTCATGAGACGTCAACCCTGCCAGCACCATGATCTTGAACTTCCAGACTCCAGAACTGGGAAAATACATTTGTCATTTAACCCACCCAATCTGTTGTATTTTGTTATGGCATTCCTAGTAGACTATACAATTCTTATTCATGATTATCTTTAATTAATGAGCCTGCTCTATTATCTATATTCCTTTTTTTCCCCTTATATGTTGGACATTTTCACAGTATCCTTTATGTCTATTTTATCATGTATCCTAGATTTTTCAATTCTCTTCATTCTTCATTCAGTACACTTTCTACTAAATTAACTTCTAGTTTACTAATTTCTTTTTCAGCTGTGTCTACTCTCTTCTGACATTCCCACTAGCTTATTTCTGGTTTGTCTTTACTTTTATAATTGTCATTAGATTATGTTTATTTTAACATTTCCAGGACACTGATTAAATTTTCAATATACATTGTATTTCATTGAATATAATAAGCAGTAATTTAATATCTTTTCCATCAATATATATCATCAGTCCCTATGTTTCAGTTTGATTATTTATTACTGCTATTGTTTTCATATATTTTACCCTTAACAGATGACATGATTGTCTATACAGAAAATCCCAAAGAAGCAACAAGAAACTGATGGGACTAATAAGTGAGCATACCAAAGTCATAGGACAGAAGATCAATATACAAAAATGTATTGATTTTCTCTATATTATCAAGGATCAATTGGAAGAGGAAATTTAAAATTAATACTATTTACAATAGAACGTAATATAAAATAGATATAGATCTAACAAAATGAGGAAATAATCTATATGTGGAACTACAAAAAGAGCTCCACTTTTTTTTACTCCAAAAAGTAAAAGAAATCAAGGATCTATATAAATGGAGACATTATTTGTTAATGGAGAGAAGATTCAATATTGGTGTGTCAATTATTTTCAGAATGACTTACATATCCATGCTATCCCAATCAAAATGCCAGCAAGCTATTTTGTTGATGTTGACAAACTGATTCTAAAGTTTATATGAAAAAACAAAAAAGATCTACAATAGCCATCACAATACTAAAGAAAAACAAAATTTTAGGATAGAGTTTACAGCATACAATAAAGCTATAGTAAACCTGACAGCAAGGTACCATTGAAAGAATAAACATAGATCACTTATATAGAGTACAAGACCCTAGGGGAAGAGGATACACACACACACACACACACACACACACACACACACACCCCCCACATATATTATTTAAATTTAAATTCATTTTATTATATAAAAATTAGTTGAATATATTTATATACAAAAGAACAAAGAAGTGCAATCAATTCAATGGAAAAATGGTAGTCTTTTCAATAGATGGTACTGAAACATATCAGATGCCCATATTAAAAAAAAAAAAAAAAAGGAGTAGGAGGAGGAAGAAGAGACCATGTTCATCATCATGTAGCAGACCTGTTACCTTTCACACACACACAAAAACCTGAAAATGGATCATAGATCTAAATATAAAATGTAAAACTATAAAATCTCTAACTTCTAAAAGAAAATGTTGGAGAAAATGAGATAACATTGGGCTTAGTAAAGAATTTTTACATATATATAAAAAAGCATGATCTATGAAAGAAAAAATTTATAAGTGAAAATTAAACATTTCTGCTCTGCGAAGGACACTTAAAAAATTAAATATTAACCAGAAGTAGAAGAAAATACTTACGAGACATATACATGGCAAATCACTTGTATGTAATACATGCAAAGAGGTCTTACAACTGAACAATAAGAAAACAAACAACACATTTTAAAATGTGCAAAAGATCAAAACATCTCAATAAGAAGATATGTAGATGGCAAGTAAGCACATGTAAAATGATGCTCAGCATAGTTTGGCATCAGATGATTGAAAATTAAAACAAAACTGACATAACACTACACACCTAGTACAATGATTAAAATCCAAATATCTGACAATGCCAATTGCTGGTGAGGATGTGGAATAAAAGTAACTCTCATTCATTGCTGATGGAAATGCATACTGGTGCAACCACTTTGGATAACAGTTTGCAAGTTTCTTACACAGCTAAACAATTTTACCACACACTCTGAGATTTGTACTCCTATGTATATATCCAACTGATTTGAAAACATGCCCACCACAAAAACCTGCTCCTGAATATTTGTGTGAATAAACAAATTGCAGCACATCCATACAATGAACTCAGGTTTTTGACTAAGAAAATGAGCTAATTGAGTCATAAAAAAGAAAACATGAAAGACTCTTAAATGCATACTGCTAAATGAAAGAAGCCAGTCTTAAAATGCTACATAATGTCCAAATGTATGACATTCTGAATGAGAAAAAGCTATAGTAACCATACAGATATCAATTGCAGTGTATGAGGGGAAGACGATTGAATAGATGAAGAACAAGTAAATTTTCAGGTGGTAAAACTATACTTCATGTTACAGAAATATTGGATATAAGACATTAAGCATAGAACTCTCCACCACATTGGGAGGCCTAGGCGGGTGGATCACCTGAGGTCAGGAGCCCGAGACCAGCTGGACCAACATGGAGAAACCCCATCTCTACTAAAAGTACAAAATTAGCTGGGCGTGATGGAGCATGCCTGTAATCCCAGCTACTCAGGAGGCTGAGGCAGGATAATCACTTGAACCTGGGAGGCTGAGGTTGCAGTGAGCCGAGATCGCACCATTGCATTCCAGCCTGGGCAAGGAGAGCAAAACTCTGTCTCAAAAAAAAAGAAATGAAAATATATATATTTAATAGTTGCAGGGATCCCAGGATGGAATACAAAATGGGACAAAAAAATAACACTCTATTGCAAATGTAAGAAACAATCTAATTGAATGTGTGAGGGGAAAAGAGTGCTGACAAATTACTTCAAAAATGAGCAGAGTGTGTAAGGCTAAGGGCAATAGAAGCTGTACCTAAATTCTACACTCCAGTTGATAAAGATATTTCCCACAAGGGTACAGGCTAAGAATTCTGATACCTCTATATATGTATACTGAAAATAAATGTATGGATGATGGGAGTCAGATTTTTCAGTCTTGGTGTGGGAGGTTACAAATAAGCAACAAGTGTAGCCTAGAAAGATGTACATAGTGGGTATGAATTAGAGTTAAAGACATCAGTACAAACTCAAATTTAGCTTAATATTGATACAAGTGGGGATATGCAAAAATATTTATATAAATGTGTGTTGTGCTTGTATGTATGCATACATATATTCCCTTGCTGTGTCAGATAAGAGGACCTAGAAGAAACGACATTCAAGTAGTAGTTAATCCACATAGCATCTAGATTTTGGTTTTTAATATCATTCCCTGTATTAGTCCGTTTTCACACTGCTATAAAGAACTGCCTGAGACTGGGTAATTTATAAAGGAAAGAGGTTTAATTGACTCACATTTCAGCATGGCTGGGGAGCAGTTAAGAATCTTACAATCCTGGCAGATGGCACAGGGGAGGCAAGACACCTTCTTCACAGGGTGGCAGGAAGAACAATGAATTCTGGAGGAACTACAAAACATTGATACAGCCATCAGATCTCGTGAGAACTCACTCACTATCACGAGAACAGTGTGGGAGAAACTGCCCCCTGATTTGATTATTACTACTTCCACCTGGTCTCTCCCTTGACCCATGGGGATTATGGGGATTACAATTCAAGATGAGATTATGGGTGAGGATGCAGCCAAATCATATCCTTCTCCAACAAAAGAAACCCATGCTTCTTGGAGAAATTGCTGAGTCTAGAAGGAAGGCAGAAAAATAGGTAGCATGAGCTTTGAGCATTTTGTAGTGACAGAAAAAAAGAAAATGCTCCAAAACAAACAAACCAAATTGTTGGGAATATGTCAAAGGGACATTTGAGCCAAATGAAAGAGCTCCAATAGCCAAAGCTGGAGCAATTTTTATGAAAAAATATATAAAATAGTATTGAATTATATCCTAAAAAATAAATATTCATGAGTCCTACCCAATATAAATTAATGATTTAATAAATAAATAATTGAGAGAGAAGAGACAAATGTTCCATTAAGAAGAATTTCAAGTAATACATGTTGCTATTTTGCCCTCAAGGAGATGGAGCATATAACTCCCCACCTATTAAGTACGGAGTGTGACTTTCTTCCAAAGAGTACAGTATGGATACAGGAAAAAATAACTAACAGTGGAGAAAAATGGCAAGTTCTATATATATCAGCTAGGTGATCAAGGTCAACATCAACAGTGATAAGTCATGCTAATTATATGTATCTTTGACGAAGAAGCAAAACAGATGCTTATTACCCACACTGTCTTCTGACTTAACAGTGGCAGGTAAAGTGCTGGCTCCTCAAATATTTCTGACTCTAATCCTTGGAACCTGTGAATACGTTCCCTTACATTGTGAAGGAGGCTTATTTACAGATTGTGATTAAGAGTACAGACCCTGAGATAGAGAGAGTCTGGATTATCCAGGTGAAACCAATCTAATCACGTAGGTCATTAAAAGTGGAGAATTTTGTTCAGCTGCAGCCAATTGGAGAGATTCAACATAATTGAACCACCTTTGGTGGTTTAAAGATGGAGGAAAGAGGACATACCAAGAAATATAAAGGTCTCAATAAACTGTTTCTAGAAGAGACAGATTCTTCAGTTGGGCCTCCAGCAAGAAACATGGCCTCGTTACTACTTTGATTTTGCCCAAAAAGACACATGTTGGACTTACAACCTATAGAACTGGAAGAAAAGAAAATTGTGTGTGTTTGAATGATGCTTTATATTTTTTTAATTTTTAATTGCAGTAAAATATACTTAACATTAAATTTACTATCTTACCCAATTTTCAACGTATAATTCAGTAGTGTTATGTACATTCACATCATTGTGCAACCAATCTCCAGAACTCTGTTCATCTCACAAAACTGAAACTCTGTACCCATTAAACAACAACTTCAATTTTCCCCTCCCCAAAGCCCATGCCAACCACCATTCCACTTTCTGCCTCTGTGAATATGGCTACTTTAGATACTTCATGTAAGTGGAAGCATATAGTCTTTGTCTTTTTATGACTGCCTTACTTTACTTAGCACAATGACCTCAATGTTCAATCATGTTGTAGCATGTGTCAGAATTTCCTTCCTTTTTAAGGCTGAATAATATTTCTATTCATATATATACATACATACATACATATGTACATTCCATTATATTTAAATGTACACATACTACTTTTTGTTTATTCACACATCAATGAATACTTGGGTTCCTTCTATCTTTCGGCTATTGCAAACACTTGGGAATACAAATATGTATTACAAGCCACTAAGTTTGTGAAAATTTGTTATGGCAGAAATAGAAAATTAATACATTTACTTTGTATGTTTTAGATCCTGTGTGTATACCTTTGTTTAATAGATCCTAAGTCACTTTTATATATTTAGCCATAAAGGAATCTGCTAAATGTAACAGTTAGCTTTTTAGTTTCCACAGTTTGAAGACTAGCTAAAATATAATTTGAATTGATGCTGAAGTATCACTCAACAATAGCAACACAAGAATTATTGATGTAAATGTGGTAGTTGCCACCACAAATGTGGATTAAGACTAAATAAAAATTTCATTTGTCACTTTCTGTGGATTGAAAACAATAAAGCAATATTTCAAGGTAAAAAAGCATAGGACAAGGACCCAATTCATGTATCTAAAAAAAATTTTCAGAATAAATAAATACACACACACACACACACACACACACACGAGGCAGGGGAGGTGAATTAGAATGTAGTGTGGAAGTCAAAAGAATAAGTTTGAGAAGGGTCAAATGGCCCAAATTGTCAAATAAGATTCAAAAAGGTAAAGGGCAGCTGGGGGGTGAGAACAGTTTCTAGAATTTGTAGAAACAGAAAAGGAATTTCAGTGAGGCTAAAGAATGAGGGATGGAAATGTCAGGTTGTAGTGTACTCCTGTGGGACTGCTTGCCTCATGACAATACATGGCAAACACTTGCACATCCCCAAGTGAGGTACTGGACTACCTATTCAGGACATTCAAAGAAGGTAGCTAGAATCCTTTCTGTGCCCCTTGGCCTCAAACACCTAGGGTTATAAGACTTACATTACAGACAAAGAAGAAAAATTCAACCTTTTCCATCACGGAGAAGCGTGCTGGTTTCTTCTCTTTTACCACTGGCCTAGTGAGAGTAACTTCCAGGGGACACCTCAGTGATGGAACATTCCACAAAAGAAAAACATCAGCTTTAAACATACTCCAGTCTCATTGAACAGTGTTGCTGCTCAAAACAGCACCAGTGCAGTGGGTACCAATCTTTCCTTCTCCTTCATAAGGCTGAAAATCCAGAAAGAGTTGAGCATGTCCTTTTCTGCATGCCCCTACTTCCAGACTGTGCTAGATTTAATTGAGTGAAGGGGAAAGCTTTATCTTTGAACAATTTCAGAATTTTGATTATTATACTGGACTGAAAATACCTATTACAGAACTAAAACGTTTTTGACTCAAGTGACCTGAAGTCTTATCGTCTAAGAGTGAGCAAATCAGCTTTGGAACCAGCTAGAGATTTTATTCTGGGGCAGAATAAATTTATTCCTAGGGAACAAATTTCAAAACAAGTATGAGGGAAATATATTTGTTTTATGATGACATTATATGAATCTTGCTCTTACAACAAACTACATATACTAAGCTGTTTCCCTTGTCTAAGAACAAATGTGTATACAGAGAAAATACTCTTCGTCTCCGATATTGCCTCAGACTTTTCTCTTACTAATTTGTGTTGATCTTCTCTGGCTACCTACTTTCTTGTTTAAACATTGACTCTATTTTTCAGTTTTTCTGATCGTTGCTAAGTTAGGTTCCTGCTTAACACAGCTCTTCAGCACCAAGTGTATGTAACTACAGAAGAGAGATGCTCTCACTGCCCACAATGGTGCTGAGTCATTGATTTGAACAAGCCAGCTTTCCCTGCCAATACTCCGAAAAACTCTGCAAGTGGAATATCCCTCACAACGTATTACTGACCCCCACACATCAAATCCAATCAAATTAAGAAAACTAATGTGATTAGCAAGAAAAACTATACCTCAGGCCAATAAATGATGTATACTTCTTTACTTGACCTGGTCTCTTGCATTTTTTTTTTTTTAACCAAAGAACTGAAGAGGAGAGCTACTCTGGACACAGTTGCTTAATTTTCTTTTTTATTGGATTTTGTTTTATTCTCTGATTTAGAAGAAAAATGAGAGTATGGCTCTGATTGTGACAGTGTAAGTCATATGAAGATGTTACATATTTTTCCAATGGAAGAAATTTGTTCTTTAAGCCTCTTTTCAACACATAGCATTAAACTTTCGAGATTCCCTCATCTAATGATATATTTTGTTCAGTTCACCATTTACATCAGTATTGGCAATAACATTCATCACACTGCCAGCCAGGGCACACACACAAAAAGTGATGGTGTCACTTTGAAAACTGAAGTGTCTGTTAAATTTGTTGTGGAATTTTTTACATTATGTACAAGAAGCCATAATTACTGTTTTACTCCTTTATTTGAAATATTAAATTGACCTAGGCAGGTTCAATGCAGACTAATATATTTTAAAGGGTTAGGGAAAGCACTACCTACTCTAAAATCTAAATGTAAAAAGTTAGTGCTGGGCAATAGTCATACATTCTCAAACCTGTGCAATGGAACTCAAACCTTTACCCTTTTATACATTAAGAAAGGAGACTTTACTTCCTGAATCTCATGGCAAGCCATCTGGGAAGATTTTCTCTGATCACTGGTGTAGAATAAGGTTAAACTACTTATCACCTCTTCTCCAGAGAATTTCTACTTTCCAATTGTTATCTTCTTTTTTCTCATATTCTCGTTTTTCTATCTGAGGAAGGAGAGAAAGTATTATAAGGGAAAAAGTTTTACTTTCTCTCCCACTTGAAGCCCAGTGTAGCTAGCAAAATAAGCTACTGCACTACTCTCTGTTTGCTATCTATACCACTCCATTTTCTTAAATGTGCACCACACACACACACACACACATACACACCCCTTGCAAGGCAAATTTTCTTTCTTTCACTTTTCTAACATCTAGTCCATGTCCTACCTGAAATCTGCTACCGTTACGACCACTCATCACCTCGAAATAAAATTGTCACCCTTTGTGCTACCTCTAGGAATAGATTTCGGTCCATTTGGTGGTACTTTACTACTACTTACATTGTATGACATAGTGGATTTTATGTTATAAAAGACAGAGCATAAGGTAAAAATGATATTTGACAATAAACAGATTCTTAAAAATCTCAAAAATCATTTCTGAAGTTGTTAATTATTGTACCATACTTCAGTAAATCCAGCACAGCTAAATGTTTCAAAAGTTGTAATATGTTGTTTATTCTTAATTGAATAATTAATACAATAGGGATCCATATTTGGGCAAAAAGTTATCTAAACACTTGACGCACCTGTTTTCTGCAAGATGTTCACCCTGGTAAAGATGAGGGAACCGAGATAGGCTGAGAGGATTGCAGACTCAAGCTCTCACTTCCCTGAAAAAGCCCCTTGAGTTTCAGGACAGGCAAAACATTTTGCCATTTATTTATTTATTTAAATTGTTTTTCTTTCTGCCTCCTTTTGCCCAATTCTCTCTTCTTTCTCCCCCAACCCTTTCCCATTCTGAGTGTTATATTCCCTCTGCTGATTATATACCTGCCACCCTTACCTCTCCTCCTCGACTTCAGTCTTCTCAAGGGTAAGCCCTGTGTCCGAGCTTTTATTCTTCCACATGCTTAGCAAAGTACAGGTATTCCAAAGACAATTATAGAATAAAAGTTTACACTTTCAGAGTGACAAACAATAGTTTTGGAGTCGAGTGTGTTAAAATTTTACTAGGAAGTGACTTTAGCCTCAAAATCTTTGTTAAAATTAAATCATATAGAATATATATAGAAATAGAATATAGATGGAAGTAGAAAGGCAGTGATTAAAGTAAGATGGAGGTGGAGAGGGAGGACTGGAGACCATTATGATTATTTCTGCTCTCATTTGGAATCTCTTCTTCAAAGGGACCCTTCAGAACTCTAAAATGATCAGGACTGCAGTTTGGATATCACTTTCTCAGGGTAATTACTTGTCTGTAAAATAGGCATTAATGTCTTGTGAGGGCATAGATAAAAGAGGAGCTTTAAATTCAATGAGAGAAATCAATAAGGAAAAAAACATTTTGAGAATTATAGGTAATGCAAATAAAAAAAAAACTTCAAATGGAGTATTCATATTTTTGGCCTAAATTATTGAACAAATATTTATGTCATATCCTCTATACAAAATACACTTACAAATGGCACAGTAGCAAAAGACATTCAAATGATTTGGAAATGTATTGCCAATAGGAAAAAGTGCTATTTCAAGAACAGCAGAGTATATAAAATTTTCTATTACATTGTATTATATCAAAATTAGAACAAATAATAAAATATAATAATTACAGAACTAAATATTTTCTTTCATAGATATATCTCTGAAAGAAAATATTTAACATCTCTAAGCCTCAAGTTTTCTTAGAAGAGATATGGAAAATGGTATCTATTCTGTAATGTTTCTTTGAGCAACATCAATAAAATGAAAAGCAACTATTTGTCACATAGTATTTCCTCCATATGTAAAATTGTATTTTTTACTTTTGGAAGAAAGAGAGGTTTTGAACACATTAGTTTTATAATTATTATTAAAGTATTGGCAATTAAAACTTTGAAAAAATACAGTAGATTTATTCAAAAGATATAAATCAAGACTCATCTTTGTATATATATTTTTTAGTTTTGGGGAAATATATATATATATTTTTAAGTTGTGTTTTAAAAAATGTTTACCATATCTTATATTCTTATATACTGATAATCATATGTGTGTATATTTATTCACAAATACAGATACATATATACATATATATAGAGAGAGAGTATGTGTCACTTAATAACAGGTATATGTTCTGAGAAATGTGTTATTAGGCACTTTGGTTGTGCAAACATCATAAGCTGTATGGTACAGCCGGTATAGCCTATTGTTCCTAGGATATAAACCTGTATAGCATGTTACTGTACAGATTATTGTAGCCAATTGTAACACAATAGCAAGTATTTATATATCTAAACATTTAAGCATAGAAAAGGTACAGTAAGCATCTGGTATAAAATATTTTTATAATGGTACACCTGTATATAGTATTTACCATGAATAGATCTTGCAGGACTGGAAATTGCTATAGGCGAGTCAGTGAGGGAGTGGTGAGTGAATGTGAAGGCCTACAACATTACTGTACACTACTATTGACTTTATAAACACTGTACACTTGCACATTTGGGCTAGACTAAATTTATTTTTTAATATTGTTCTTCAATAACAAATTAACTTTTTTTTTATTTTTTTGGCTCTGTGATAACACCTAGCTAAAACACAAACAGAAGTAACTACACAGCTGTACAAATTATCTTCTTTTTAAATATCCTTATTGAATACACTTTTTACTATGGTAAGGTTTTTTTTGAACTTTTAAAACTTTATTTGTTAAAAACGAAGACACGAACATAAACAGTAGCCTAGGCCTATATAAGAGCAGGATCATCAATATCACTGTATCCTACCTGCACATCTTGTCCCACTGGAATGTCTTCAGTGCCAATAACAGGCCTGGGATCGTCATCTACAGTAACAATGCCTTCGCCTGTAATACCTCATGAAGGACCTGCCTGTGGCTGCTTTATACTCAACTTTATTTTAAGTAGAAGGAGTACATTCTAAAATAATGATAAATCATATAGTAAATACCTAAACCAGAAACCATCATTTATTATCATTATAAAATATTACATACTATACATACTTGTATGTGCTATATTTGTCTATGAGCAGCAGTGCAGTAAGTGTGTTTATATCAGCATCACCACAAACACATGAGTAATGTGTTGCACTATGACGTTATGATGCTTATGACATCACTAGGTGATGGAAATATTTCAGCTCCATTATAATCTTATAGAACCACTGTAGAATATGAGGTCTGCTGTTAATTGTTGTTATGAAGTGTTTGACTATATATCATTACATAAGGGTATCCAATGATAACATAAATGTGCTCATGATTCATTCATAGTCAATCAGAAAACATGGGGAAATGCTACTTATTGTGAAGCACATACAAAAATAACAGAAAGACAAATATTAGCATTAAATACTGCTGTCTATAATTGTTTTCACCTATTTGTATCTTTTACCTTTATTAGACTTGACAGGAGCTGTGTATTGGAACCACAGGGTCTGTTTTCCAGAATAGCCAGGCTTTGATCAGTGCTCTCCTTTTCTTTTCAAAAGAGAGTGGCTTCTTTTTAAAATAATATTTTTTTGCCATGGTTTTAATTAACTCCTTCATGCAGCTAGAAGGAAATAAAAGTACTTTCTTATGTGCTTGTTTTTGCTTGTCAAAACAGAAGCATATTCTGCTACTGCGTGGGTTCCATTGTTGCCAATTAGTCACCCATTCCCAACTCTGGCTTAAAATGATGGCATATGACTCAGCAGCACAGCTTTTGTTGTGTATATTTGAATATTTTCATTTTATGATGAAAATGTTTAAATGTAAGACAGTAAAAATGATAGTATAATAAACTGATCATATATTGAACACCTAGTTTCAACATTTATCAATGTTTGCTAATCTCTCTTCTATTTCCCACATATTTTATTTCAGTGTTTTAAAGCAAAACCCTGACATATCATTTCTCCTATAAATTCTTCACAATGTAATATCTCTAAAAAATAGAGTTTTTTTAAAGCTAACCACAACACCATTATCACACTTAATCAGGTCAACAGTATTTAATGTTAATTGATACCTAATATGTGTCCAAATATTCCTGATTTTTGGTTTGATCAAATTAGATTCACATCAGCTCAACTTATTGCATTTGCTTAAAATGCCCCTTACATAGTTTCCTTTCACCTGTACTGTCCCCATGGCCTTGCCATTTTTTCACAGCATTTATTTGTTGAAGATAAGCTTATTTGCCTTATAAAATTTCCCATGTTCTAGATTTGGCCTACTTCCGCATTAGGTCATTGAACATGTTTCTTTAGCCCCTAAATTGCCTGTGAATGGGTATATATATTTAGTGGCATAAGACTTAGCTTGAATATTTTTTAGCAAAAAAGCATCATCGGCGGTAGTGTGTACTTATTGTATCATACCAGGAGGTACAGCAAGTCTTATTGTCACATATTTAGAGATGTTAAAATTAGTCAGTTTATTCAGATGTTGGCAGTCTAATTTACCATTGTAATTCTCACAAATTGAATTTCTTACTTTGTTTCACTCATTTTCTTCATGGATCTGGATGTCCATATCCCTCCCAAAGTTTGGAAAGTTTCAGCCAGTATGTCTTTAAATAAACTTTTTGTCCCTTTTTCACCCTCTTCACTTTCTGAAACTTCTATAATCTGTATATTTGTATGCTTGATAGTGTGCCATGTTTCCTTTATGCTTTCTTTACAATTTTTTTCTTTTTTCTTCTTCTAATTGCCTAATTTCAAATGACCTCCCTTTGGGTTTGCTAATTCTTACTTCTACATGATCAAGTTTGCTGTTGAAGTTCTCTATCGAATTTTTTTTTTTTTATTTCTGTCATTGTCTTCTTCATCTCCATCGTTTCTGTTTGGTTCCTTTTTATAATTTCTACCTCTTTATTAAACTTCTCATTTTGTTCATGCATTATTTTTCTCTTTATTTAGTTGTCTATCTGTATTTTCTCCATTTCATTAAGTTTCTTTAAAATAGTTATTTTGAATTATTTTTCAAGCAAGTTATAGATCTCCCTTATTTGGAGTCAGTTACTGAAGCTTTATTAGTTTTATTTAAGGGTGTCACGTTTGCCTGATTCCTCATTATTCAAGTGAACTTGCATTGCTGTCTCTGTATTTGAAAGAAGAATAACCTCTTTCAGTCTTTACAGACTGGCTTAGGCAGGTAAAGGCCTTCTCCTCTGAGGCCCACAAGCTAACAGGATTGCTTCCAGCATCACGGTCAAGTAGAGTTGGAGCCAGGTCATGTGGCTGCTGCTGAGTTTACAGTGGGGTCCTCACTTGGCAGGCCAAATTGTCATGGACTGTAGTAAGTGTGGATCTTGTCTGGTCTTTGGGGGAACTGAATTACCTCCAGGACCTTGGTCTTTAGAGTTCGCACTGGAATGAGGGTCTGTTCAGAATCCACAGACAGTGGGCCCTTATCAGGTACACAGATAGCTATCCCTTTCTCTGGATCACTGAGAGGGCTCCCAGTGGGTCATTTGTGGAGTCCCTGGATAAGGAATACTGGCCCAGGATTGTGGCTAAGAGAGCTCGGCACCAAGTCAAAGGGATACTTTAGAGTCCACAGCCAAGACCAAGCTCTGCGGGCCTGCCTCTGGGGCCATAGGCAGACATGTCTCCCAGTTGATCTCTTTTCAAACTGCAGGTAAGAGGTATTGAAGTTGAGTTTTGGAGTTGTTTCAGGACCTGCTATGGAACTTAAATCAGCAAGACTGCCCTGGCGATTCATATGGACATTTTTTCCTTTGCATTCTGTTCAAACAGGCCTACTCTCAGAATGCAGTTGAGAGGAGCTAAAGCTGAATTTCAGGGCCACTTCAGGGTCCACAACTGGGACAGAGATTGGCAGATCTATGACTTGAGACATAAGCGGGTGTGGCTTTTCCCAGTTCTCTTGAGCGGATGGTTCAGGTAGCAGGATCAAGGCCAAATGTGCACGTAGCCAAGTCCACAGGGGGATGTAACAGTTTTCTGGTCTGGAGCAGGAAACTCACTTGATGATTCTATCACCCGGGCATGGGTGTGCCTTCTCAAAATGCCCCTCTCAGGTATTGTGGTCCTTTGGGCTTTCACAACTTCCTGTCTGAATACCAGGGCTCCCACAAAGGCACTTTTGTCCATGGATGGCTGCAAAATTATTTTTGCTGTGGAAAGATATGAGTAGGGGACTTTCTCCTGCCCTCTTGCTAATGTCACTCCTCTCTATTATACTTTAATAAACAACACCCTCAAACCCTTTTCCAACAATTTTTGTTTTCAATCTTTCCCAGGCTATTCTTGCATAATTATCTTTCTGAATAAATTTTAAATTCAACTTATCTAGCTTCTAGAAAAAATGCATATTTTATTGTGATTCAGTCATATTTATAATTTAACATAAAAAAACTAGGGACAATTGACATTCTATAAAGTTCAAATATTCCATACAAGAATACTTTATTTCTTGCAGGCCAAGTTCAGTGGTTCCTGCTTGTAATCCCAGCACTTTGGGAGGCCGAGGAAGGAGGATTGCTTAAGCCCAAGCATTCAAGACCAGCCTAGGCAACATAGGGAGACTCTGTCTCTACAGAAATTTTTAATGATAATAAAGAAAGAAAAAAAGAAAGAACATTTTCTTTCTTGCAAATGCTTTTCTTTTGTTCAACTATACTCTTGTTCCTTTCAAGAGCATTGTATTGACTTCCTTATTTGTTGTTTTATCCCCTCCACATTGCCTAGTATCTTTATACTTAGTTGATTTTTGTTTCTGTATGAGGAATTTTCTCCTTCATTGTATCATTTAACTGGCTATTGTCTATGTATATAAATATCCTGCATTTCAGTGAAACCAAATTATCTTCATAATAGTGGTTTTTTTTTTTCCTGTATGAGGAATTTTCTCCTTCATTGTGTCATTTAACTGGCTATTGTCTATGTATATAAATATCCTGCATTTCACTGAAACCAAATTTTCTTCATATTAGTTGATTTTTTTTTCCTGTAGGAGGAATTTTTTCCTTCATTGTATCATTTAACCGGTTATTTTCCATGTACATAAATATCCTGCATTTCAATGAAACCAAATTTTCTTCATCACAATCAACAATCCGTATTTGATTATAAATACACTTCTTCAGAGTTACAGTTTACCATGGCTCTTCCATATGATTGAATTCCATTTTTTTTCATTATGCACATTTTTTTAAAATCCCAGCAAAAATTATTTGGCTTTTTCCAATTTTGATATATAGGTAGAAATGTATGTTGAAAAAGGCAATCTTCTGTGCAGTCTTTTGACCTCCTCTCAGTCAGCTAAGAATGGAACACTTTCCAACCAAGAGTGAAGAGGCCTCACACCCCATGCCATACTTAACACCTTGTATATGAATCGCTTTTCCGGTTTTAGACTCAATGTATATGTCTTTGTTCTACTTTAGCATGTGAATTATATGGCACCTGGCCAACTACACTACTATGTCTGTCCCCTGTGGGGAGTGGACAGAGTCCTTCTGTTGCAGCGCAAGAACAGTGTGCAGGCTAATTGCGCCGTGCCAGTTCCCAGGACCTGCTGGCCATGGAAGACCAATGCCTACTACTGAAGCTGGTCTTCCTCTGTCTCTTTTCTTTGTGAGTAAAGTGTATTGGCCCAGTGCTCGACTGCATTGTGTTTTCCTTGGCAACTCCAATACTCAGATGCAGTGGGGAGAAGTATTCCAACTTCTGCTTCTGACAACAGGCCACAGACACCACTTGTTTGACAATATACCATTGGGTATGTTGAGGTAGAAGATTTGAAAGTCAATGAGAAGATTCTGAACAAAGTTCTTATTAGTATCTTTAATAAAGTTTTAAAGTTGATGTAGTGTATTAAACAGGAGTTTGGCTTGGATTCACTTTGTTAAATAGAGAAAGGTATAATGTATTCAAAAAATAACGTTTTACAATTTTACCAGCCAGAGAACATTGATATTTTGTGATGACAGAAATACTTTCAAAACATGTAACTTGGGCCATAATTTAAGAAATGATTATCTAAAAAGAAAACTTTTATTTTAGGTTCAGGAAAACATGTGAGGTTTTGTTACATAGGTAAACTCAGGTCATGGGTGTTCGTTGTACAGATTATTTTATCAGTCAGATATTAAGCCCAGTACCCAATAGTTATCTTTTCTGCTCCTCTTCTTCCTCCTACCTTCCCCCTCAAATGGACCCCAGTGTCTCTCGATTCCTTCTTTGTGTTCATAAGTTCTCATGATTTAGCTCCTACTTATAAGTGAGAACATATGGTATTTGGTTTTCTGTTCCTGTGTTGGTTTGCTAAGGATAATAGCCTGCAGCTCCATTCGTGTTCCTACAGAAGTCTTGTTCTTTTTTTATGGCTGCATAGTATTCCATGGTGTATATGTACCACATTTTCTTTACCCAATCCATCATTAATGGACATTTAGATTGATTCCATGTCTTTTCTATTGTATATAGTGCTGCAATGAACATTAATATGCATGTGTCTTTATGGTAGAATGGTTTACATTCCTCTGGGTATATACCCAATATAGGATTGCTGGGTCAAGTGGCAGTTCTGCTTTTAGCTCTTTGAGGAACCACCATATGCTTTCCACAATGGTTGAACTAATTTACGCTCCCACTAACAGTGTATGAATGTTTCCTTTTCTCTGAAACCTCACCAGCATGTTATTTTTTGACATTTTAATAATAGCCATTCTGACTGTTGTAAGACGGTATCTCATTGTGGTTTTGATTTGCATTTCTCTAATGATCAGTGATATTGAGCTTTTTTTCATATGCTTATTGGCTGCATGTATGTCTTCTTTGAAGGTGGGTGTTCATGTCCCCTGCCTACTTTCTAATCAGGTTGTTTGTTTTTCTCTTGTAAATTTGTTTAAGTTCCTTATGAATTCTTGATATTAGACCTTTGTTAGAGGCATAGTTTGCAAATATTTTCTCCCATTCTGTAGGTTGTTCACTCTGTTGATAGTTTCTTTTGCTGTGAAACAAACTCTTTAGTTTAATTAGATCCCGTTTGTCAATTTTTGTTTCTGTTGCAATTGCTTTTTGCATCTTTGTCATGATGCAAAGACCTGGGCACCTTTGCCCATTCCTATGTCAAGAACAATATTCCCTAAATTGTCTTCCAGGGTTTTCAGAGTTTTGAATTTCACATTTAAGTCTTTAATCCATCTTGAGTTGACTTTTGTGTATGGTATAAGGAAGGGGTCCAGCTCCAATCTTCTGCATATGGCTAGCTAGTTATCCCAGCACCATGTATTAAATAGAGTCTTTTCCCCATTGCTTGTTTTTGTCAGCTTTATCAAAGATCAGATTGTCATAGATATGTGGCCTTATTTCTGGGCTCTCTATTCGTTTCATTGGTCTATGTGCCTGTTTTTGTATCAGTGCCATGCTGTTTTGTCTACAGTAGCCCTGTAGTATAATTTGAAGTCAAGTAACATGATGCCTCCAGCTTTGTTCTTTTTGCTTAGGATTACCTTGGCTATTTGGGCTCTTTTTTAGTTTCATATACATTTTAAATTTTTTTTCTAGTTCTCTAAAGAATGTCATTGGTAGTTTGATAAGAATGCATTGACTCTGTAAATTGCTTTGGGAAGTATGGCCATTTTAATGATATTCCTTCTTTCTATCCATGAGAATGAGATGCTTTTCCATTTTTTTAAAATTTTCTGTCTTCTCTGGTTTCTTTAAGCAGCATTCTATAATTCTCATTGTAAGATCTTTCACTTCCCTGGTTAGCTGTATTTGTTAGCTAAATAAAATTCCTAGTTATTTTATTCTTGTTGTGGCAATTGTGAATGGGAGTGTTTTCTTGATTTGGCTCTCAGTTTGGCTATTGCTGCTATTGTTGCTGTATAGGAAGGCTAGTGATTTTCATGCATTGATTCTGTATGCTAAAACTTTGCTGAAGTTGTTTATCAGCTGAAGAAGCTTTTGGGCCAAGACTATGTGGTTTTCTAAATATAGAATCACGTCATCTGCAAGTAGAGACAGTTTGACTTTCTCTCTTCCTATTTGGAGGCCCTTTATTTCTTTCTCTTGCATGATTGCACTGGCCGGGACTGCGAATACTATATTGAATAGGAGTGATGAGAGAGGGAATCCTTGCCTTTTGCTGGT
Organism: Homo sapiens; assembly: GCF_000001405.40. Classification (NCBI taxonomy): domain Eukaryota; kingdom Metazoa; phylum Chordata; class Mammalia; order Primates; family Hominidae; genus Homo; species Homo sapiens. The sequence continues at coordinate 84,718,436 of NC_000005.10, read as the reverse complement.
TTTCAAGGGGAATGCTTCCAGTTTTTGCCCATTCAGTATAATGTTGGCTGTGGGTTTGTTATAGATGGTTTAAAAAGAATTTTTAAAAAGATGATTCTATTGGGCCCTTTGGCTTTCTAGGCCTGACAATCATTAATGAAATTAAAGTAAAAATCCCTGGAAGAAATCAAACATTGCTTTTTTTGGATTGTTTAATGATTTTTATCTCCAAATGCATGTAGAAATTACTATTGATAAAAATGATATCTGTACAAACAATATATTTTTAATTACCTTTGCCTTTATTCAATGCTCTTTTGCCCCTATTCATTTAAAAATTGTATCCAAATTCATACATGTAAATTTAAAGAAGCTTAGTTGTCCTTATAGGAATATCACCTGTGAATAATTCCTCATATTACATGACATCTGCAGAGTTCACTATGCACTTTTGCTTACAATGCCTGCTGCCTCAAGTTCTCTGTAGCTTCATTAATGTATCTGTTTATTAGTCATGTTTACAACTGAATTTCCATGGGTAGAACTGGACTCTGTGTTGTACTAGTGACTTGATAAAAGTAGGGCACAGAAATGAGAAAAATATACAAACACATTAAAATATACAAACGAGAAAAGTATACAAACACATTAAAAAAGATATTTAAGTACATCTGTAAAAATATATTACTATACATAAATATATATCAGTACAATAAAACTATGAAAAAAGTTAATATTTGCTTTTTTAGAATTAAAGGGTATATGTCATATAGACTTAAGAGATTTTTGAAACACAATTCTGGCTATGAAGGATGTCTAAATTTAGCACGCAATCCATATATAAGATATGCTTAATTTGTACATGTAAACTCGACTTTGGAAGGGAAAGAAGTTGACTAGTAAAGAGGAGTTGCAATAGGAGACAGCACTCTCTTCAGACAGACTCTTAATCTTCCCTGGTGGCCCTTGCTTTAGGAACTGCACTTAGCTATAGATGATGAAGTTCACTGGACTGTAGTAAATAATCCTATTCAGCCCGTTCATACTCTTCAGGGAGAGGGGGGAAGATAGTTTAGCGGAAGGGTGCCTCTGCTCATTTATTCCGCAATAGTCACTACTTGATAAATGGCGCTAATCCTCTACAGAAATGTTCCAATCACCTTTGTAATTACTTACTATATGGAAACACGGTGAATGTGGCCTTAATTATAGTGCTATAAGATATGAAGTCTGAAACGCATTGTTATCGATATAAAATGGAAAGACATTGTGTATTCATAAAATCGAAGATTATATTTAGTGTGAAATTGTTTCGAAGGTCATAAGCAAACTTGCAAGTTAAAAGTGACTGATAAGACCTACTCTCATGTTTCCCTTTCTATATAATAGAGTAAATAGTAAGATTTAAAAGTCATATTTCCAGGGTTAGAATTTGAAATCTGTTAAATTTGACTATGCTGAAATTCTTAGTCACATGAAAAATTTTAAATTGGGTTATTATCGTTAGCATTTTCTCCCTTAAACAGTCTACATGATTCAGTGTATCAGAGAAAATGGAGACGCTCTAAATTAAGGTGAATTAATAATTCTGATTTAGAGGAGAGGCAATTTTAGCCTGGCTAATTTTTCATGTCTGCTCAATTAACCTCACAGTGCTTTAGAACAAAAGGCAGTGTGATGAGTATCATTTAAATTAAACAAATGCCATTTATCTGTCAAGGTACTGACTTATATCAGCCACTCCAAGCCAAAACCACAGTATCAAATGGAGTGGACAAGCTAGTGGGTCACTGGGATTTAATCCTCCAGCATTTGAGAAATCATGCATAGCATCATATGTGAGTTTTGCTATTTAATGAGCTCTTCGAGATCATCTAGAAAAGCAAGACTAGGTTATCTACCCAGTAGAATTTGTAAAATACCCAGTTAATATTCCACTGTGACCCTTGTCACCAGGGAGAGGCACTTTCTTCTGAGAGCGATGTCAATGATTTCTAATTAAACATTATACCTCTCATTTTACATTCAAGGCATTTATTTTCAGAAATTGGAAAACAGATATCATTACAGGGTTGCCTGAGTATCTTTCTGTTTAGCAGCTACAGTCACCAATGATGCTTTCCCAATAAAGCATTTCCGTTCCAAACAGATACAAAATTTGAAAAGAAATTAATTGAATATCACAATTTACTAGAAAAGAGAATTAATTACTCCTACTCAGCATTCACACTCTTCATATGGACAGGCATTATACATTTTAAAATCATTATCTATGTTTTGATAGTCAATATTTATTATAGTCTGGTCTCTTTTTCAATAATTTTTTAAAAGTCTATCAAATGGAATTTGGAATAAAGTTTCACTCAACAATCATTTTGTAGATACCCAGCTATATTTTGAATTTTAACATGAAATATCAAAATGCATTTTGTCACAGAGCGATTTTTATCTCTGTTCAATAATATGAAATTTTCTTCAAAAACCTCTATTAAACTTATGAGACCACATAGCCAGCCTATGAGAAAGGCTGACTAAGATCTAGATGTGTGTAGTAAACATGACTAATGAACAAGATGAGGCAGGAAGGCAGAGGCCCTTAACGAACAAGACCTAGCAGCTTCCCGAGTTTGGTTTAAGCTAGGAGGTAAGACATCAGAAGAGAAGGTTGATTATCTGTTTCTCAACACTGCTCCCAAATAGGTCCTACAGATTCAAGTTCAACCCCAGTAATCAAGATTCTACAAACTAAAATGTACTTCTCTAAATTTCTGTGAAATGTTGACTGCCATTTAAAAAGGCATCACAACTTGGAGGTAACAGTTATTCTGCTGCTGATGAACATAAGCATTAATCATAGAATTTCAATTGGTTTTTACTGCAGTGTTTGGGGCTCTGGGTACTGGAAGCATCAGGAGCACCAGCCATGACCTCCCAATATCAGAAAAAGTGGTAATTTTAGAGAATTCGGGAACTGACTTACCACTTGGATCGCAGCAATATTTCAAGATAGTATCAAGTTAGGAAAGGAGAAATGGAGAATTTCATCTTTGTACATTAGAGATTGAGTTCTCTTAGCATATCTCAGATAATCACTCAAAGGTGATTCCAGAAACATTGGGGATGAACTTGCACAGGACTGCAGTCTCCAAGGGATCACTGGGAACAGAGCCAGAAAACTTTAGAGCTGTGCATGGTACTGTTGTGCAACTTCTTCAAAGAGTATGAAGTGAGAAATGGCAGTTTGTCCAGAAAATTTCTGTTTTCATTTATTTATTTGTATAAGGTAGGACATAAAGACTACAATTATTTTTAAGACTGTTTAGTATCTTATTAAAATGCCAAGTGCTGAGTCTAATCTCTTATAATCAATACTTCACTAAAAATTTGAGCAACACTGAAGATATTAAAGATATTCAAGTGTATGTTTTTCAAATTTCTACTAATATATACTAGTATCAGCTTTCCCCACTTAACACTGGAAATAAATGGAGAATCATTACAAATTTAAATAAGCTAGATTTTTCACAATTACTAAAAACAACAATTATTTTTACTATATTTGTATATAATCATTTTTAAATTATTTTTTCACTTTGGATTTATAGGGCAAAATTACATAATTTGAATTAGATATTTACTTAGGAATAGATTTAAATGTTTATGTTATTCAGAGAGAAACAGTTATATAAATATTAGAATACTAGGGACAACAAAAGAGAAACCATCTCAAAATAATGGGTCTTCATCTATTTATATAGCTCAGAGTATTATTTCCAAATGACACTCATTACATAAATATATTATCCTGAAAGGATGGCTTATTCTATATTGCATATAAATTTCAGGAAAATCGAATAGGAAATAACTCAAATTTCATAGGGTAGGACAGTGGGAGTTATAGCAAGAAAACACAAGAATTACCTAGGTAAGTGAGTTCTTGCTAGATTTTCAGGCAAAAAATCATGAGACCAAAATAAGGGGAAATTTTAAAAAATGAGTAGAGGTATTAGAGTTATAAATTACAAAAATAAATTAAAATCTTGCATACAATGGCTGATACATTTTATTTCTTATGCCAGTCCTGATTTTTATTTTTTATATGAGAAATATCTAATGCTGTATTCAGATCAAATGGAAAAACATACTGGAATCAATTATTGATGTGTTTCATTGATAAGAGAGATAGTTGGTAGAGCAGTAGGACTGCATGTTTGACCTCCTTGGTATCAATATTCTTCTGTAAGAAAAACTCAAAACATATCAGGAATTCTATAATTCCATTTCTCAATAATAATACTTTTTTTTTTTTTTTAAGATGGAATCTTGCTCTTTCGCCAGGCTGGAGTGCAGTGGCATGATCTTGGTTCACAATAATACTTTCTATTACAGATCTTAGTTCTATCATAGGTTTGGTTCTGCAAGATCTTGCATTTATTTAGACACATTTAGACTCTCCTCTTGTTCCCAGACACATAACAGTAATAGACAGAAAAGAAAAAAAAAAAAAAAAAAAAACAGATGAACCGATGAGAGAAGGAAATAATCAGGCTTACAAAATAGTCGTATTTCTGTGAAATAAATGGGATAGAAATGAAAAGTGGTGAGTTCTGAAGTGAGCTGAACTATAAGCAAGTTGGCCTTCATGTTGTTTAGAAGCAACTGGACAGATCCAGCATGAACTTCCTCAGAGTATTAGATGTAGAATTTGCTTTATGCAAGGCAAGGTCTCAGAGTCAAGTTGACACTTGAAACAAAGATTGAGACTGGTCTCAAGGGTTCAGTAGAGAAGGCTGAAGAAATCTATTGCAAACCTTTACCTGGGGCTAATCTTAAGTGAAGCTGCTGGCTTACAGAGGCAGGAGGAAAGGTAGTCTCATGACAGGAACTCAACAGCCCACTTATTAAGTCAGTGATCGAGTTTAAAACATTTTGCAGTATCATTGCACTGGAGGAGCACTAATCTGTCAATAACAGGCCTGGTGAGGAATTTGGAGTCTAAAAAGATGTGAATAATTGAAAAACCAACAAAAGGTATGTCAAGTTAAGACAAAATAAAAGAGAGAAATATAAGCCTGCAAACAAAAATTCAAACAGAAGAAGATAGCTAATGTTATGGGAGACAGAAAATGAAACCAATGCTCACTAGATTAATTTATTCAGATTAAATGAATATATTAGAACTTTTGATAAAGGTTTTGAAAACATGTTATTTAAGGAACACAGAGATTACAGAATATATGTTAGTGGTATTATAAAATGAGAACAGGCAGAAATAGGACAAGAAGAAGTGAAAAGTAGAAGGGAGGGAGAGATGTAAAGGGAAGAAAAGGGAGTTCTTCAGACTGAAATGAAAGGACACTAAACAGTAATTCAAATCTACATGAAGAAATAAAGAACTTCAAAAAACATAGCTACAAAGATAAATACAGATATTCATAGTAATGTAGTTTAGTTTTACTACTCTTTATTCCCTAAAGAACAAATGCATAAAACAATAAGTATAAATGAATAGTGATGGACACAAAATGTATAAACATGTAACTTGTGACAATAATTAAATAAAGAGATAGTAGAGCTATATAGGAGCAAAGTTTTGTACACTATTGAAAGTAAGTTGGTACTTATTTGAGCTAAATTGTTATAAATTAATACATTAATTATAATGCTCTGGCAACGACTAAGAAAATAACTAAAAATTATATAGTTTAACAAATGAGAAAAGGAATTGAAATGGTACAATAGAAAATATCTATCTAATAAAAAGGAAGACAGTAATGGAGAAATTGAGCAACAAAAAGACATGTAAAATGAATAGCAAAATGGCCGAAGTGATTCCTTTCTTATCAGTAATTACATTACAACAAATGGATTAAATGTTCCAATTTAAAGGCAGAGACTGGAAGAATGGCTTTTAAAAAATGGTCCAACTATATATTGTCTATAAGAGATTCACTTTAGATCCAAAAACCCAAATAATTTAAAATTGAAAGGAGGAAAAATATATCCCATACAAACAGTAACCAAAAAACAGCGGTATGGGCTATACTAAGTTAGATAAAATATATTTAAATACAAACATTACTATAAGAGACAAAGAAGGACATTACATTCATACCCCCTTATCATGGAGATATGTTCCGATATCCCCAGTGGATTCCTGAAACCACTGATACTACCTATACATAGTGCAGAAATCATTTTTATCTTCTCCACAGCTTTACAGATATAACATTCATTTTTACTGTAGACCTTAGAAACTTTAGCATACAATTTTTTGTTATTAAATGTAGTACTTTCACCTTTACACTTAAAAGAAGCACTTTACAGCTTCTCTTTGGCATAACTGAATTGCCAGCATCACTACCTTAGTGCTTTTGGGCCATTATTAAGTAAAATAGGAGTTACTTGAACACAAGCACTGAGATACAGTAACCATGGATCTGATACACAGCTACCAAGTGAATAACAGGCAGGTGATGTATACAGTGTGGATGCACTCGACAGAGGGGTGGTTCCCATCCTAAGTGGGACAAATCTTATGATGACACAAGATTTCATCACGCTACTCAGAATGCTGTCCAATTTAAAATTTATGAAATACTTATTTCTGAAATTTTGTATTTAATAATTTTGGGTCACTATTGACCACAACTGAAACCACAAAAGGCAAAAGTTTTGGATAAGGAAAGATTACTGTAGGTAACAATAAAGAGGTCAATTCATCAAGAAGATATGACAATTATGTTACATTTATGCACCTAACAAGTCTCAAATATATGAAGCAAAACCAAACAGAATTTAAGGGAGGAATAGATAGTTCAATAATAATAGTTGGAGACTTCGGCACCTAACTTTCAATAATGGGTATAACAACCACGAGAAAAAAAAAAAGGGAGAGAGAGAGAAACAAGTGCGTAGAAGACTTGAACAATACTATAAACCAATTAGATCCAACAAACATATAGAGAACGCCCCACTCAACAGCAAAATACGTATTTGTTCTCAAGTGCACATGGAATATTATTCAGGATAAAATATTTTAGGATGCAAAAATCTCAAATTTTTAAAAACTGAATCATAAAATATCTTTGTCAATCACAGTAGAATGAAATTAAAAATCAATAGCAGAAGGAACTATTACAAAAATGTGGAAATTAAACAACACAGTCTTAAAGAATGGATCAAATAATAAATTATAAAACTGAAAAATACTTTGAGCTGAATTAAAATAATATTAATTAATATTATTAATATTATTATTTAATAATATTGATATTATAATTCATAATATGTTATATTAATATCATTTGATAATATTGATATTATAAACATATTATATAATAAATAATATTATTAATAAGCTGTGAAAATAGTAATCAGAAGAAAATCCTTAGTGCATTTGAACTGTAATAACAAAACACCATAAACTGGGTGACTTTATAAATTATAAAATTTATTTCTTACAGTTCTGAAGGTTGGGAACTCCAAGATCAAGACGCTGGTAGATTCAGTATCTAGTGAGGGTTCACTCTGTGTTTCATAGATGGCATCTTCCAGCTGTATCATCACATGCTAAAAAGAGGCAAAGTAACTCTCTGGGGGCCTATTTATAAAGGCACTGATCCCATTCATGAGGTTGGCTCCACCTTCATGACCTAATCATTTTCCAAAGGCCTTACCTTCTAACATCTTCACTTTGATGATTAGGTTTCAACACATGAATTTTGAGGAAACACACCTTTCAGACCACTGCAGAAATTTATAGCTATAAATGCCACATTAAAAAAGAAGGAAGGTCTCAAATTAACCTAACTTTACGCCTCAACAAGTCAGAAAAAGAAAAGCAGACAAAATCAAAAATTAGTAGAAAAAAATAATAGTGATTAGAGATCAAATAGTGAAGAGAAAAATAAAAGGAATAAACAAAACCAAAATTGGCTATTTGAAAAGATTTTAAAAATTGACAAACTGTTAACTAGTGTTAACTAGGGGAAAAAAAAGACTGAAACTACTAAAATCAGGAACGGACATGAGGATATTATTACCACCATTATTGAAATTAAAGAGGATTATAAGAGAATAATGATATGAACAATTGTACACCAACAAATTGCATAACCTAGATGAAATGGATAAATTTCTAAGAAACAGAATCTATCAAAATGATTCAAGAAGAAATATGAAACTGAATACCACTAGAACAGATAAAAAGATTGATTACATAAGCAGAAAACGTTCAACAAACAAGAGCCCAGGGTCAAATTATTTAACTGGCAAATACTACCAAATACTTAAAGAAAAATTAACACCAATGTTTCTCAAACTCTTCTGAGAAATGGAAGTGAACATTTCCTAATTTGTTCTATGAAGCCAGTATTAACCTACCACCAAAGCCAAAGGTATTACAAGAAAACTGCAGACCAATACTACTCATGAATAAATACAAAAATCTTCAACAAACTGAATTCAAAACATATTAAAAGATTTATACAGCACAACCAAGTAGGGCTTATGCCAAGTATACAGGTGTGTCAACACAGGAAAATTATTATATCTAATATGCTACATGAATAGAATGAAGAAAAATATCAGATCATTATAATTGATATGAAAGGCATTTGGCTTTTTAATTAAATATTCAAGATTTGAAATAATATAATTATTATTTGTATTTCTTGAAAAGATCTCCAGAGGAAGAAAAACTATAGCAAACATACTAATAAGTAAGCACCACCTCTCATTTGCCGAAAGACTAGGACTACATCAAATGGGGCATTGTGATTCTAAAAACAAATGTGAGTATTGTAAATCCAGACAGTAAGAATCTCAATGTTGTAAGTTGAAAGTGTAGAGAAAGATTGAGAAGGTAAAAATTAGTTTAGCATGGTTATATATGCATAATTTATACTTTGAGGTCAAATATTATCTTAAACTGATAATTAAAGTGAAAAAGTATAATCAATTAAATAGAATCGTAGCAGGGAAGGAACTTAAGAAGTAGAGGTAGGGAGGAAAACCCTATTTTTATTAATGTTTCTAGAGAATAGTCTACAAATATAGTCCAAAAATATAATGTGTCATATCATATTGTGGCTATAAAGTTAGCTTCAAAATACGGTACATATACACCATGGAATACTATGCAGCCATCAAAAAGAATGAAATAATGTATTTTACAGGGACATAGATGGAGCTGGAGGCCATTATCCTTTGGAAACTAATGCAGAAACAAAAAAACACTTATAAGTGGGAGAAAAATGATGACAACACATGGACACATAGAGAACAACACACACTGGGGCCTTTCTGAGGGTGCAGGGTAGGATGAGGAAGAGGATCAGGAAAAATAACTAATGACTACTAGGCTTAATACCTGGGTGATGCAATAATCTGTACAACAAACCATCATAACACAAGTTTAGCTACATAGCAAACATGCACATGTACCCCTGAGATTAAAATAAAAGTTAAAAAATAGAAAACATAAAACTGTTTATGTCCCCTTTTCTCAGTGCACTATTATAAAGTTGTTAAAAAGTGTTAGATACCTCTACATATACAGGTATTAAAAGACCTTCTAGATCAAGGATCAGCAAACTTTTTTTTTCTGCATAATACCAGATAGTAAATATTTTAGCCTTTGGAGGTCATAAGGTCTCTATTACAACTATTCGGTTTTGGTGTTATAGCATGAAAGCAGCCATAAACAAGAGAGCAATAAATGAGTGTGGCTTTATTCTCGTAAAACAAAAGGTGGGCTAGATTTGATCTGTGAGCTGCAGTTTGCCAAACTCTGTTACAGCTAAAATGGTAAGAGAAACAATCAAGGTACAAAATAGTGTGTATAAATATGATGTCATTTATATAGAGAATAATATGTATATACTTATCTATGTATTAAATAAAGCTGTAAAGACAATCAAGAGACTAGTAACAGTGGTTTACTCTAGAAAGGGTAACAGAGCTCCGGACAGGCTGAAAAGACAGCATACATTTTACTGAATACCAACATGCACATTTTGAATTTTATACGATGTTCATGCATACCTATTCTAAAACAATAGCAAATAAAATATTTTTAAAATAAAATAGAAATATATAAGATAAAAAATATAATTAAGATAGAGTATTAACAAAGCCAAAAGTAGATTTTGAGAAACTGATAAACACATTTCTGTAGGATACATGTTAAATAAAAGTAGTAGAAACAGGCCTTAACAAAATTTGCAATGTTTTTATTCATTAAAGACAACTTAAGCAAATTAATTCTCACGACATAGGTGCACACATTCCGTGTAATTAGCAGGGATGCCCTGATGAAACTCGTAAAGTGAATTAGCCATAAAAGTTACCACGAACTTTTCTAACTAGAGCCATTTTGCATATTCCATTATTTATCCATAGAATCAGTCTCATTATGTATTTGTATGCCACTATGCCAAGGGACAACATGAATAATTTTGAATTTAATGTTAGTTTATGCTATGAATCTTAGTGAAAGTTTTTTTTGCTTATGTTTTGTTTTGTTTTCACAGTAGGGTACATCACTAGGAAGCATTGATGTAATCTATCAGGAAATGGTGTAAAAAAGTAGACAACATTTTCCACACATTTTTCAATCCAAATAAAAAAAAATTCCAGTACTAAAATGCAGGTTCCTTTATATTTTATTGGCTCTTTTACTATTAGATTAATGCAAATAAGATATTCGGCAATAGTATTTTAGCCAAATATGGTTATTATCTTTACTTATATAAGAACTGGTAACACAGGCAGATTTATCTTACTTCTTTCTTTCATTTATACAGTACATTAGAGTACCCTTTATAGTCTCATTTAATTCATCCTCAAAACAACGTTTGAAGATGGTCACACATTTTAAAGTTGCAAGTTTTACAGATGAGAGGGGGTTACTCAAATTATGCACCATGTTATTGCTACAATTTTGGTAGGGAGTTTTTAGGCCCTTGATGGTAGAAGTAATTAAAAGCCTTCTGTGGGAAATTCACTTTGAGATGACTACAAAAACAGCAGTGATTAAGATACATTCCTCTGCCACATCAAAGTGAATCTGTCTCTCTCATTAATTATTGTATGAGTTCCACTTAATCATTAGAAAAACAATCTTGCACGCTGAAGTTGTAAAAACTTTCTATTCCTCAGTGATATCAAAGGCCAAGCCATTGTGATCCCTTCACACCACCATGTGTCCCTAGGGACTGCTGAAACTTGACCCAGCTTCATCAACTGTGGCCACCACTTCTGTGCTGGCCCTCTTCATCCCCTCCCCATTCATGACATGATCTGCATTTTAAGATAAGAATTCTAAAAGATTTCTCTCCAGTGATGGTGAAAGCTCTGGAGGTCCTCCCTATTTCTCCCTATATGTCCATCTACGTATCTTGTACCTCCCCCTTTTTAAAATAAGAAAATCCATTCTGAAATGAGATGACATTATTATAAGGTTAGGTGGACCATGTGCTAATCATAGTTTGTCAATCTCATTTTTCTCTTTTCTTGGTACTACTAAAGTATCTGGACAAAATGCTCCCACATAAATACTGATTGAATGCTACAGGTTTCGGTTTTCAGATTGCAAACCACAAATAAGAGTTCATGTATCATTTTGTAAAGTCAAAGGCACCTTCAACAGAAAGTTTTTTTAAATGAAAGCAGTTGATACTATCAGTCTGTTACTAATTAATATGAAGCATTGATTGAAATGCTTTATTTTTGAAAACCACTTAGCAATAGTATTTTTAACCTTGAAACGATATTTTATCAGGTTGATAATATAAGCCTAAATTAAATTGAATAGTATCTTGAATTAAATCTACAGACTGCTTTGGGTAGTATGGACATTTTAACAATATTGACTCTTCCAATTCATGAACATAAAATACTTTTTCTTTGTGTGTGTGTGTGTGTGTTCTCTTCAGTTTCTTTCATCAGTGTTTTGTAGTTTTCACTATAGACAGCTTACACTTCTTTGGTTAATTACTAGCTATTTAATTTCATGTGTGCCTATTGTAAATGGGATTATTTTTAATTTCTTTTTCATATTGTTCACTGTTGTCATATAAAAATGTTACTGATTTTTGTGTGTCAATTTTGCATCCTGCAACTTTACTGAATTTGTTCATCAGTTCTAATAGTTTCATTGTGCAGTCCTTAGGTTTTTCCAGATATAAGATTATGTCATCTGCAAACAAGAATAATTTGACTTCTTCCTTACTAATTTGGATGCCCTTTATATCTTTCTTAGGCCTGATTGCTCTAGCTAGGACTTCCAGTACCATGTTGAATAACAGTGGTGACTGGGCATTCTTGTTGTATTCCCAATCTTAGAGGTAAGGTTTTCATTTTGTCCCCATTCAGTATGATACTAGCTATGGGTCTGTTATATACGGCTTCTATTATGTTGAGGTATGTGCCTTCTACGCCCAGTTTTTTTAGGGTTTTTATCATGAAAGGATGTTGGATTTTATCAAATGCCCTCTCAGCATCAACTGAAATAATCATATGGTTTTTGTTCATTCTGTTGATATGATGCATCTCATTGATTTATTTATGTATGTTGAACCATCTTTGCATCCCTGGAATAAATCCCACGGAGTCAGGATGAATGATCTTTCTAAGGTATTTTTGAATTTGGCTTGCTAGTATTTTGTTGAGGATTTTTGCATCAATATTCATCAGAGATATTAGCCTGTGGTTTCCTTTTCTTGATGTGTCTTTGTCTGGTTTGGTATCAGGGTAATACTGACCTTGTGCAATGAGTTGAGAAGCATTCCCTCCTCCTCTATTTTTCGAAACAGTTTCAGTAGGATTGCTATTACTTCTTTAAATGTTTGCTACAATTCAGCAGTGAAGGCATTGGGTCCTGGGATTTCTTTCCTGACTTCAATCTCATTACTTGCTATTGGTCTGATCTGGTTTTGGATTTCTTCCAGGTTCAGTCTTGGTAGGCTGTATGAGTCTAAGAATTTTTCCATATTTTCTGGATTTTCCAATTTACTAGCATATAGTTGCTCATAGTAGCCACTAATGATGCTTCGATTCTCTGCAGTATCAGTTGTAATGTCTCCTTTTTCATCTCTAATTTTATTTACTTGGATCTTCTTTTTTTCTTGGTTGGGCTAAAAGTTTGTCATCTTTGTTAACTTTTTCAAAAGCCAATTTTTTGCTTTATTGATCTTTTGTATTGATTTCTTCATTTTATATTCATTTATTTCTACTTTGATCTTTATTAATTTTTTCCTTTATTAAGTTCAGGTTTGGTTTGGTCTTCCTTTTCTATTTCTTTAAGATGTATTGCTAGATTGTTTATCTGAAGTTTCTCTTCTTTTCCAATGTAGGCACTTATAGCTATAAACTTCCCTCCTAGTGCCGTTTTTTCTATATCCCATAGGCTTTGGTATATTGTGTTTCCATTATCATTTGTTTCAAACAATCTTTCAATTTTCTTTTTAATTTCTTCATTGACCCACTGGTCGTTCAGTAGCTTATTGTTTAATTTCCATGTATGTGTATAGTTTCCAAAATTCCTCTTGTCATTGATTTCTTGTTTTATTTTATTGTGGTCAGAGAAGATGCTTAATATTATTTCAAATTTTTTGAATGTTTAAAGACTTGTTTTGCAACCTAACAGATGGTCTATCCTTCAGAATGATCCATGTGTTGAGGGAAAAAAATATGTATTCTTCAGCCATTCAATGAGATGTTCTGTAAAAGTTTAATTTGGTGCATAGTGTGAATTAAATTTGATGTTTCTTTCCTAGTTTTCTGTCTGGAAGATCTGTCCAATGCTGAAAGTGGGGTGCTGAATTCTCCAGATATTACTGTAATGGGGCCTGTCTCTCTCTTTACCTCTATTTTCTTTATATATCTGGGTTCTCCAGTGTTGGGTGCATATATATTTAAAATTGTTATATACTTTTCCTGAATTGACATCTTATTATTATTATATAGAACATTTATTTGTCCCTTCTTATAGTTTTGGTCTTGAAATATATTTTGTCTGAATTAAGTATAGCTACTCCTGCTCTTTTTTGGTTTTCATTGGCATGAAATACCTTTTTCATACCTTTTTTTCAGCCTATGTATGTCTTTATAGGTGAAGTGTGTTTGTTATAGGCAGCAGATCATTGAGTCTGTTTTTTTTTAATACCATTCAGCCCCTTCAGCCACTCTCTGCCTTTTTATAAGCGAGTTCAGTTCATTTACATTCATTCTTATTATTGATAAGTAGTTTCATGCACATCCGTGTGAAGAGACCACCAAACAGGCTTGTGTGAGCAACATGGCTGTTTATTTCACCTGGGTGCAGACGGGCTGAGTCTGAAAAGAGAGTTAGCGAAGGGAGATAAGGGTGGGGCCGTTTTATAGGGTTTGGGTAGGTAAAGGAAAATTACAGTCAAAGGGGGTTTGTTCTCTGGCGGGCAGGAGTGGGGGTCGCAAGGTGCTCAGTGGGGGTGCTTTTTGAGCCAGGGTGAGCCAGGAAAAGGACTTTCACAAGGTAATGTCATCACTTAAGGCAAGGACCAGCCATTTACACTTCTTTTGTGGTGGAATGTCATCAGTTAAGGTGGGACAGGGCATATTCACTTCTTTTGTGATTCTTCAGTTACTTCAGGCCATCTGGGCGTATAGGTGCAAGTCACAGGGGATGCGATGGCTTGGCTTGGGCTCACAGGCCTGACATTCCTGCCTTCTTATATTAATAAGAAAAATAAAATAGTGTTGAAGTGTTGGGGCGGCAAAAATTTTTGGGGGGTGGTATGGAGAGAGAATGGACGATGTTTCTCAGGGCTGTTTCAAGCGGGATTAGGGGCGGCGTGGGAACCTAGAGTGGGAGAGATTAAGCTGAAGGGAGATCTTGTGGTAAGGGGTGATATTTTGGGGGTGTTAGAAGAAACATTCGTCGTATAGAATGATTGGTGATGGCCTGGATACGGTTTTGTATGAATTGAAAAACTAAATGGAATAACAGAAGGAGAAAAACAGGTATAAAAGGTCTAAGAATTGGGACGACTCAGGATATCTGATTAGAGAGTGCCTAAGGAGATTCAGCATAGTCCTGACAGCAAAGATTATTTATTTACTTCAAGAGTTAAGAGTGGCAGTTTGGGGATAGCACCAGGAGATATCAGCTGTGATGGCTTGGAAAAACAGTGTAAACAAGAGCAGGGCATGTATGAGTAGTTGAGAACGGTGAATAGGAGTATGACTAGACAGAAGATAGAAGGGATGACAAGTTTTCTGGGGCACAGTCTAAGTTGGTCTGGTGTCTGGAATGAGACTGGGGCCTAATAAAAAGGAGCGTCTATACAGGAGCTTAAATGGGCTGTACCCTGTAGCATTCCGAGGACAGGCCTGAATTCTGAGAAGGGAAAGTGGTAAAAGTATTGTCCAGTCCTTTTTGGTGGCTGAGCTTGGTGAGGTGTGTTTTTAAAAGACCTTTAGTCCATTCTACTTTTCTTGAAGATGGAGGACCGTAAGGGATATAAAGGTTTCACTGAATACTAAGAGCCTGAAAAACTGCTTGGCTGATTTGACTAATAAAGGCTCATCTGTTATCAGACTGTATTGAGGTGGGAAGACTAAACTGAGGAATTATGTCTGACAGAATGGAAGAAATGACTGTGGTGGCCTTCTCAGACCCTGTAGGAAAGGCCTCTACCTATCCAGTGAAAGTATCTATCTAGACTAAGAGGTATTTTAGTTATCTGACTCAGGGCATGTTGAGTAAAGCTAATTTGCCAGTTCTGGGTGGGGCAAATCCTCGAGCTTGATGTGTAGGGAAGGGAGGGGGCCTGAATAATCCCTGAGGAGTAGTAGAATAGCAGATGGAACGCTGAGAAGTTATTTCCTTGAGGATAGATTTCCACGATGGAAAGGAAATGAGAGGTTCTAAGAGGCGGGCTAGTGGCTTGTACTATAGTATAACCTGCCTTTGCTGGTGTGTGGCGATTAGGCCTGGTGGAAACACCATCAATAAATCAAGCATGATCAGGGTGAGGAACAGGAAAGAAGGAAATTTGGGGAAATGGGGTGAATGTCAGGTGGATCAGAGAGATACAGTCATGGGGGTCAGGTGTGGTATCAGGAATAATGTGGGAGGCCAGATTGAAGTCTGGGCCAGGAACAACGGTAATTGTGGGAGACTCAACAAAGAGTGAGTATAGCTGAAGGAGCCAGGAAGCAGAAAGTATATGCGTCAGATATGAGGAAGAAAATAGATTTTGGAAGTTATGAGAACTGTAGAGAGTGAGTTGAGCATAGTTTGTGATTTTGAGGGCCTCTAAAAGTCTTAATGCAGCGGCAGCCGCTGCACGCAGACATGAGGGCTAGGCTAAAACAGTAAGGTCAAGTTGTTTGGACAGAAAAGCTACAGGGTGTGGTCCTGGCTCTTGTGTAAGAATTCTGACCACGCTAACCATGCCTAGGAAGGAAAGGAGTTGTTGTTTTGTAGAAGGTGCTGGGGTTTGAGAGATCAGTCAGACACGATTGGCAGGGAGAGCATGTGTGTTTTTATGAGAATTATGCTGAGATAGGTAACAGATGAGGAAGAAATTTGGGCTTGATTGAAGTAATGGGGGCTGTCTGTGAAGCTTTGCAACAGTACAGCCTAGGTAATTTGCTGAGCTTGATGAGTGTCAGGGTCAGTCCAAGTGAAAGCGAAGAGAGGCTGGGATTAAGGGTGCAAAGGAATAGTAAAGAAAGCATGTTTGAGATCCAGAACAGAATAATGGGTTGTAGAGGCAGGTATTGAGGATAGGAGAGTATATGGGTTTGGCACCACGGGGTGGATAAGCAAAACAATTTGGTTGATAAGGCGAAGATCCTGAACTAACTTGTAAGGCTTGTCTGATTTTAGGACAGGTAAAATGGGGGAATGGTAAGGAGAGTTTACAGGCTTTAAAAGGCCATGCTGTAGCAGGCGAGTGATAACAGGCTTTAATCTTTTTAAAGCATGCTGCGGGATGGGATACTGGCTTTGAGTGGGGTAAGGGTGATTAGGTTTTAATGAGATGGTAAGGGGTGCATGATCGGTCGCCAAGGAGGGAGTAGAGGTATCTTATACTTGTGGGTTAAGGTGGGGGGATACAAGAGGAGGACGCAAAGGAGGCTTTGGATTGGGAAGAAGGGCGGCAATGAGATATAGCTGTAGTCCAGGAATGGTCAGGGAAGCGGATAATTTAGTTAAAGTGTCTCAGCCTAATAAGGGAACTGGGCAAGTGGGGATAACTAAAAAGGAGTGCTTAAAAGAGTATTGTCTAAGTTGGCACCAGAGTTGGGGAGTTTTAAGAGGTTTAGAAGCCTGGCCGTCAATACCCACAACAGTTATGGAGGCAAGGGAAACAGGCCCTTGTAAAGAAGGTAATGTGGAGTGGGTAGCCTCCATATTGATTAAGAAGGGGACGGGCTTACCTTCCACTGTGAGAGTTACCTGAAGCTCGGCGTCCGTGATGGTCTAGGGGGCTTCCGAGGCGATCGGGCAGTGTCAGTCTTCAGCCGCTAAGCCGAAAAGATCTGGGAAGGAGTCAGAGAGCCTTGGGCCAGAGTTCCAGGGGCTCTGGGAGTGGCTGCCAGGTGAGTTGAACAGTCCGATTTTCAGTGGGGTCCCACACAGATGGGACGTGGCTTAGGAGGAATCCCGGGCTGCAGGCATTCCTTGGCCCAGTGGCCAGATTTCCGGCATGTGTAGCAAGCTCTTGTGGGAGGAGGTTCTGGAGGAACAGCTGGCTGCTGTGGTTTAGGCGTTTGGAAGTTCTTGTGTGCTGGAAATGTGGCTGGGGTTTGTCTCACAGTGGAGGCAAGAAATTGCAACTTTTTTCTATTATTGTACACCTTGAAGGTGAGGTTAATTAAGTCCTGTTGTGGGGTTTGAGGGCCAGATTCCAATTTTTGGAGTTTTATTTAATGTCGGGAGCAGATTGGGTAATAAAATGTATGTTGAGAATAAGACGGCCTTTTGACCTTTTAGGGTCTAGGGCTGTAAAGCGTCTCAGGGTTGCTGCCAAACGAGCCATGAACTGAGCTGGATTTTTATATTTGATGAAAAAGCCTAAACGCTATCTGATTTGGGATAAAGAAAAAGGAGCATTAAACTTGACTATGCCTTTGGCTCCAGCCACCTTTTTAAGAGTAAATTGCTTGGCAGGTGGGGGAGGGCTAGTCACAGAATGAAACTGTAAGCCGGACCAGGTGTGAGGAGGGGAGGTAATAAAAAGATTATAGGGTGGAGGAGCGGAGGCTGAGGAAGAATTGGGACCTAGCTCGGCCTGGCAAGGAGCAGCCTGGGGAGGAAGGGAGAGGTCAGATGGGTCTGTAGAAAAGGAAGATTAGAAAGACTCAGTGACGCTTGGGGTTGGTATTGAGGGGACAGGTGGGAGGGAAAGAAGGAAGATTTGGGATGAGTTGCACTGGACACAGAGACTAGGAAGGGACTAATGTGTAAAAGAATGCCTGGATGTCAGGCACCGCAGACCATTTGCCTATTTTATGAAAAGAATTATTTAGATTTTGCAGGATGGAAAAATTCAAAGTGCCATTTTCTGGCTATTTGGCACTACTGTCGAGTTTGTATTGGGGTCAAGCGGCATTGCAGAAGAAAATAAGGCATTTAGGTTTTAGGTCAGGTGTGAGAAGAGGTTTTAAGTTTTTGAGAACACAGGCTAAGGGAGAAGTAGGAGGAATGGAAGGTGGAAGCTTACCCATAGTGAAGGAGGCAAGCCCAGAGAAAAGAGTAGAGACACGGAGAAGGGGTGAGGGGTTCTTGCCCTCCAGAAAAGCAGAGAAGGGGTTGGGGCACAGAAATAAGGGATTGGGGCACAGAGATAAGAGGTCAGGGTGCTGAAATAAGGGATTGGGGCACAGAGATAAGAGGTTGGGGTGTGGAAATAAGCGATTGGGGGGTTCTTGCCCACTAGGAAAGCGGGACTTGCCACTAAGGGTGAAAGAGAAGGGGTTGAGGGGTACTTGCCCCTCCCTCAGAAAAGCGGGACTTGCCACTAAGGGTGAAGGAGAAGGGGTTGAAGGGTATTTGCCCCTCCCCCAGAAAAGCGGGACTTGCCGCTAAGGGTGAAGGAGAAGGGGTTGAGGGGTACTTGCCCGTTCCCCAGAAAAGCAGAGAAGTGGTAGAGACAAGGAGAGAAGGGGTAGAGACAAGAAGAGAAGGGGTTGGGGTACTTGCCCCTTCCCCAGAAAAGCAGAGAAGGGATAGAGACAAGGAGAGAAGGGTTTGGGGTACTTGCCCCTTTCCCAGAAAAGCAGAGAAGGGGTAGAGACAAGGAGAGAAGGGGTTGGGGTACTTGCCCCTTCCCCAGAAAAGCGGGACTTGCCACTAAGGGTGAAGGACCAAGGCAGGCATCCCTGCATGGTCTGACACCTTTGAAACGTGGGTGAATAATCAGAGAGGTGTCCCTGCAATGATTAAACACCAAGGGAAGGCTGCCTTCCCAGTCCGTGACTGGCGCCGGAGTTTTGGGTCCACGGATGAAACGTGTCTCCTTTGTCTCTCCCAGAAAATGAAAGGAATTGAAATTAAGAGAAGGGAGAGATTGAAGACTAGAAAGGAGAAAGTGGTTGAGGGACAGTGAGAGAGGCTGGAGAAGAGAGTAAGAAGAGGCCACTTACCTGATTTAAAATTGGTGAGATGTCCCTTGGGCTGGTCGGTCTGAGGACCTGAGGTCATAGGTGGATCTTTCTCATGGAGCAAAGAACAGGAGTACAGGGGATTGATCTCCCAAGGGAGGTCCCCCGATCCGAGTCACGGCACAAGTAGTACTTACTTCCGCCATTTTTTAATTTGTTTTCTCAATGTTTTGCAGTCTTCTTTTCCTTCTTGCCTTCCTTTTGGTGAAGGTGCTTTTCTCTGGTGATATGATTTGTTTTCTTCCTTTTTATTTTTGGTGTATCTGTTATATGGTTATTGGTTTGAAATTACCATGAGGTTTGCAAATACTATCTTAAAATCCATTATTTAAAACTGAAAACAAGTTAATATTGTTTACATAAACAAATAAGCAAAAAGAAAATTAATAAAGACTATGCCTTAACTTTGTTTCCCTGCTTTTTAATGTTTTGCTGTTACTATTTATATCTTATTGTACTATGTCTTAAAAAGTTGTTGTAATTACTATTTTTATTGGTTCATCACTTAGTCATTTACTTAGGATAAGAGTAATTTACACACCAATGATACACTGTTATAATATTCTGTTTTTCTGCATATTTACTATAACTAGTGAGTTTTGTGTCTTATTACTTATTGCTCACTAACATCCTTTACTTTCTGACTGAAGTATTCCCTTTAGCATATCTGGTAGGACAGGTCTGGTGTCGATGAAATCTCTCAGCTTTTGTTTGTCTGGGAAAGACTTTATTTCATCTTCATGGCTGAAGAATATTTTCACCAGATATACTATTCTAAGGTAAAAGAGTTTTTTGTTTGTTTGTTTTTCTCTTCAGCACTTTAAATATGTCATGTCACTCTCTCCCAGTCTGTAAAGTTTCCACAAAAAGTCTACTTCTAGATGTATTGGAGCTCTATTGTTGTTATTTGTTTATTTTCTCTTGCTTCTTTTAGAATCTTTTTTTTTATCCTTGACTTTTGTGAGTTTGAGTATTAAATGTCTGAGGCAGTCTTCTTTAGGTTAAATCTGCTTTGCATTCTATAACTTGTACTTGGATGTTGATAATATTTTGAAAAATATTGGATATTGATATCTTTCTCTAGGTTTGGGAAGTTCTCTGTTATTAACCCTTACTTTCTACCCCTATTGCTTTCTCTATATCCTCTTAAGGCCAATAACTCTTATATTTGCCCTTCCGAGGCAAATATTTTGTTTCTTCTGATCAAGTATTTTCAAATAGCCTGTGTTCAAGGTTACTAATTCTTTCTTCTGCTTGATTAATTCTGCTATTAAAAGACTCTAATGCATTCTTCAATACATCAATTGCATTTTTCATCTCCAGAATTTCTGCTTGATTCCTGTTAATTTTATCTGAAGGAATTCTAAATTCCTTATCTGTGTTATCTTGAATTTTGTTGAGTATCCTTAAAAGAGCTATTTTGAATTCACTGTCTAAAAGATCACATAGATCTGTTTCACCAGGGTTGGTCTCTGGTGACTTATTTAGTCTATTTGGTGAGCTCATGTTTCTTGGATCATCTTAATACTTTTATATGTTCATCTGTGTCTGGACATTGAAGAGTTAGGTATTTATTGTAGTCTTTGGAGTCTTGGCTTGTTTGTACCCATCCTTCTTGGGAAGGCTTTCCAAGTATTCAAAAGGACTTAGGTGTTGTAATCTAAGCTGTATCTGCTTTAAGGGGCACCCCAAACTCATTAACACTGTGGTCCTTGCAGACTCATAGAGGTAGCACCTTGACAGTCTTGGCCAAGATCCAGAAGAATTCTCTGGATTAGCAATCAGAGACCTTTGTTTTCTCCCCTTATTTTTTCCTAAACAATGGAGTTTCTCTCTCTGTTCTGAGCCACCTGCATCTGGGCGTGGAATGACCCAAGGACCCCTGTGGCCACTGCCCCTAGGATTGCACTGAGTCAGACTTAAAGTCATCACAGCAATGAGTCTCACCCAAGGCCCACTGTAACCACTCCCTGGCTACTGAGTATGTTTGCTCAAAGCCCTGGGGCTCTAAAATCATCAGTTGGCAAAATCGGCCAGACTTATATTCTTCCCTTCAGGATGGTGAGTTTCCCCAAGCCCCAGGCAGGCTCAGAGGTGCTGTCTGGGAGCCAAGACTAGAGTCAAAAACTTAGAAATGTACTTGGGGTTCTGCTGTACTGCAGCTGAGCTGGAACTCAAACCACAGGTGGCAGTTTTTCCCACTCTTCCCTCCCCTTTTCAAGGGCAGAGGAACCTTACTCCTTGGACACCACTAATTGAGACCCACAGAGAGTACCTGCCAGATTACTGCTGATGTACCTTGAAGGCCCAGTGGCTCTTCCAACAGCTTGTGGTGAATGCTGCCTGGCCTGGGACTCACCCTTCAGGGGAGTGGGCTCCACTCTGGCCCTGGGCAGTTCCAGAACTCCTGTCCAAGACCCAAGTCCTGGAGTCAGGGAACTGAGGAACCTGCTTGGTGCTCTACCTTCTCTAGCCAAACTGTTAGCTAAGGTGCAAGTCAAAGTCTCATTTACTTTTCCCTCCACTTTTCTCAAGCAGAAGGAGTCTTGCCCGTAGTCACCACAGCTGGAAATGTGCTGAGTCTCACCTGAAGCCAACTAGTCTCAGTGTCTCACCCAAGGCTCTCAATGTACTTCCTGCATATCACTGCTGGTTATTTAGGGTCCAAGTTCTCTTAAACTAGCAGATGACAAATTCTGCCAAGCCCAGGTGCTTCCCCTATAGGCACCAGGTTCCCTTCCCATGGCCCAGGGTGTCTAGAAATGCCTGGGAGCTAGGGCCTGGAAAGTGAGCCTTATGTCTCTGACTGGTGCCTTATCCTGCTATGGATGAGCTAGTAACCAAGATGCAAGACAAAATCCTCCCCACCCTTGCATCTCCTTTCCTTAGACAAAAAGAAAGTGTCTCTTTTGGAGCTGTGAGCTGTTCAGACTGAGGTTAAGGGAGGGGTGACACCAGCATTTCTTTAGCCACCCTGGCTGGTATCTCAGTAGGTCATGTGAACCCCCAGTCCACTGTCTCTGGGCCCAGTTCAGCCCTAGGACTCACTCAGATGTTGCAGTCTTTGTGGCCTAGACTGATTTTCAAGTTTATTAGGGCCTCCAGAGTACTTTAGCCCGTGGTAACAAGACTCGTGGAAACTCAAGGTCCAACCCCTGGGATCAGCAACTTCCCTCTGGCTAGGGCTGTTTCAAATGTTCCCCCTGTGGGTGGGCTTTAGCTGAGTTTGGTATAGTTTTGCTTTTTCCTATAACAAAGGCAGTGCTGAGTTCAATGCCTCACAACTGCTGGCTTTCCTTCATTCCAGGACACTGAAATGCTCTCTGCATAATGCCGCCACTGTTGGAGGATTAGGGGAGGGGTGATGTTGGTGATTCAAGACTGTTTTTCCTATCTCTTCAGTGCTTCTTTCAGTGATATGAAGTTAAAACTAGGTATTCCTAGTTAAAAATAGGATTCCCTATTTAATAAATGGTGCTGGGAAAACTGGCTAGCCTTATGTAGAAAGCTGAAACTGGATCCCTTCCTTACACCTTATACAAAAATTAATTCAAGATAGATTAAAGACTTAAATGTTAGAACTAAAACCATAAAAATCCTAGAAGAAAACCTAGGCAATACCATTCAGGACATAGGCATGGGCAAGGACTTCATGACTAAAATACAAAAAGCAATGGCAACAAAATCCAAAATAGACAAATGGGGTCTAATTAAACTAAAGAGCTTCTGCACAGCAAAAGAAACTGCCATCAGAGTGAACAGGCATCCTACAGAATGGGAGAAAATTTTTGCAATCTACCCATCTGACAAAGGGCTAATATCCAGAATCTACAAAGAACTCAAACAAATTTATAAGAAAAAATCAACCCCACCAAAAAGTGGGCAAAGGATATGAACAGACACCTCTCAAAAAAAGACATTTATGCAGCCAAAAAACACATGAAAAAATGCTCATCATCACTGGCCATCAGAGAAACGCAAATCAAAACCACAATGAGATACCATCTCACACCAGTTAGAATGGCCATCATTAAAAAGTCAGGAAACAACAGGTGCTGGACAGGATGTGGAGAAATAGGAACGCTTTTATACTGTTGGTGAGACTCTAAACTAGTTCAACCATTGTGGAAGACAGTGTGGCAATTCCTCAAGGATCTAGAACTAGATATACCATTTGACCCAGCGATCCAATTACTGGGTATATACCCAAAGGATTATAAATCATGCTACTATAAAGACACATGATATGTATGTTGGTTGTGGCACTATTCACAATAGCAAAGACTTGGAACCAACCCAAATGTCCATCAGTGATAGAATGGATTAAGAAAATGTGGCACATATACACCATGGAATACTATGCAGCCATAAAATGAATGAGTTCATGTCCTTTGTAGGGAGATGAATGAAGCTGGAAACCATCATTCTAAGCAAACTATCACAAGGACAGAAAACCAAACATCACATTTTCTCACTTATAGGTGAGAATTGAACAATGAGAACACTTGGACGCAGGGTGGGGAACATCAAACACTGGAGCCTGTTGTGGAGTGGGGGAAGCGGGAGGGATAGCATTAGGAGAAATACCTAATGTAAATGACGAGTTAATGGGTGCAGCACACAAACATAGCACATGTATACATATGTAAAAACCTGCACGTTGTGCACATGTACCCTAGAACTTAAAGTATAGTAAAAAAAATTAAAAATAAAAAAATAAATATCACATTAAAAATCAATCAATAAATAAAAAGCAAATATTTGGTAATGATGAGAATTTGTTCCTAAAACTGATTTTTTTTTTATGGCTGAGGATTTGCCCCACGTACTCTTTTCCTTTTTTCAACATTACTCAAATTTACAATCTTACAGTTTTTGTCTTTTAAGAAAGAAAGTCTCATGTTATAAAAACTGAAATTGACTTTGAGGAACAAATTTATAAAACATCATTTTCATACTTAAAGTGTTTCTAAAAGGTAGATTTTCTATGTATGTTCAAATGTACTGTATAAAATTATGTTAAATTCATATACGCTTTATTTGAAAACATATCCATGTAGAGTATCTAGGCTTTCAAAAGCATTCAGATTCTGCTGGCTTCTTAGAAAGCGGCTGCATTTATGAATGATATATATCCAAATACATAGCAAAGATTTCTCGTGTATTGTCCCTATTTGTTGTGGGTGATTTAATTTCTAAAAATTTTCCATCAGTCCTATTTATTTCATTTCTTGAAAGAGGTTTATTGTTGCAGCCAACAATCTAATGTGAAATTGCAGAATGCTGGCTCATTACCCCTCAGAATAAATCACTGCATTGTATCTTTTATTCAAAACTCAGTTTGGTATCTGCACCGTTGAAGTCTGTGGTTTCACACAAAGTAAATATACTGACAAAACCGAATAAATTGTCAGGGTTCCTTAAAAAGAGGTATCAAATCTGTTTGTATTTTACAGAAAATTCCCAGGAGTAATTTTAATTTAAGAGCGTTACTTGAAAAAAACAATGAACCTAAGTTAAGGGAGATACAGCATGGAACTGAAATTTTAATTCTTTTGGCAATTCAGATGGGCCATTTTATATTACAGTGTTTACATTAGAAATAAGCATGAAAATTGAAACTTTCTCTTATGAGTTAGCTAGATTTTTTAAATATCATTGATATTTACAGGTTATTTCTTTCTCAAATAGAATATGTAACATATTTGAGTGAGACGTTTTTATAGATGACTATCTATATGTGTTATTTCTGTCAAAAGTAGAAAAGGGCTCAACACCCAAAATTATCCTCTTACAGCCTATAAAGGTGCCTGAAAGGCCAACATTTGAGATTATTTTCTTGAGTCTTAAAGGCTATATCAATCTTTACTTTTATATGTTTGTCTTAGAATCTTTCATCCGTTGACCAAATTATTGAGCATTAACATTTTCCCAGGCTGTGCCAAGTCCCCAGAACTCATAGAGCTTGAATTCTATAGTTTAAAAAAGGACAAAAAGAAAAAAAAAGTTTAGTGATATGAAGAAAATTAACACAGAGCATGGATAGAGGCATAGATGTGCTACTTTATATGAAATGGTCTTGAAGGTCTCAGATGAAGTAGCATATAAGCAGAGACCTGAGCGATATTGAAGAGTAAGCCACATGGATGACTTAGAAATGAGAATTCCAGGAAACAAGAAATACAGAAACACTGAAATGGTAGTATGTTTGAGAAACAGTGGACCAGAGTAAAGTATCTGGGGAGGTTAGGAAGAAATGAGATCACAGAGTCTGCCAAGAACACAGGAGGAACTAGAAATTTTGGGAGGATTTGCAACTCCTACCTTCATTTTCCTCATTACCAAAATCTAATCAATTCTGTCAAATCAAATGTCAATTCTTACATTATATCTCAGAGCCCACAGTTGACAGTATCCTCCTTCTCCATACCCACATTCACTACCTTAGATTACCTTGCTCACTTTCTAACCTAGCCATTGAAAATATCTCCCAATTCAATGTTTTCCAAGTTTTCATGACCATAAAAAAGAAAAATTATGTTAAACTCTACATCCTACAGCTCCACTTCCCAACCAGCGAGTCATAAATTTAAACGCAGGGCCTTGAGAAGACAGTTCTTAAACAGATGCCTTGACTGGGTCTTATGATCAGAGACATTTGGAGATTACTATTGTAAGTGTTCTACCTGCTTCCTTTTTCTTAGAACTCTAGTCTTTTTTCTACTTTCTTGTCAGACTTAAAATCCCTTCCTCCCACCAAAACATTCTAATCCTGTAGTTTTCTGATTCTCCCTTACTTAAATTTGTTGAAATACCTTCAACAAATAAGAGGATATACTGTCAAATTCTTATAAATTAATGTAAGGCTTTTCATAGTTTAAATTTAATCTACATTCCTATCATATCCTGACTCTTCTGGGCACATGCACACATACAAACATATATGCCTTTTATTGGTTATCAACTAAACTCCAGTAGATTCCCAGAAATTATCAGATATGTTTATGATCCAGCATCTTTGTCTTTCTTTGTATACTTATGTGCATATATCTCTGTGTCTGTGCCTCTACTTTGACAGCTATTTGACCTTTTAATCTACTGGAGAAAAAATCTAATTATCCTTAAAGAATCAGGTCAAATATATTTTTTCTTCTATTTAGACTTTATTGTTCCCCTTTTGCAATTGATAAGTCGGTTGACCTCCACGGTGCTCCACACTTGTTGTAGAACTTATGACAATGCCATAATTTAAATTATGGAAATTAAATATGTACCATCAAATATTAAATATGTAAATTGCTTTCTTCTCCATTAGAGTGTGAACTTCTTGAAAGCAAGACCGTATTTCATTAATTTTTGATTTGTGCTTATCAGCAAAATTCATGTGTTATGTATTGGGAGGTTCTACATACCAGTCTAAATCCAGGCATGCCATTTTCCAAAGTATTCATCATTGGTTTAGGAGCAACTATACATATTCCAAAGCACTTGTTTTAATGAAAAATAGAGTAATCTGAAGAAAAATATTTTTCCAATACCTGAGGAGGAATAGAAGGAAATTTAAAATAAAGTGGGGTCTTCCAGCTAAATAAGAAGAAACATTGCCAAATATTTTGAAAGAGGATACAAAGAAAGGTGATTATGTAGATGGCATAAATGGTTATAAATTAATATTTCAAGAAACATGACTATATAGAGAAAAAAGATAAAGCAGTAAGTTGGGGACATGATTGTAACTTTTATTAATGTTGAGAGGTTATATTTTTGTTTTTGTTTTGCTTTTAAGCATGCATAATTTGATCAAGTTTCCACACAAAGAAAAGAAAACAGATATTGGCCTGGGAAATTAAGGATACACTTGTGGAAAGGGAAAACTGAAGATACCAAGTTTTGGAGAAATGAAATATATGTGGTGGAGGAGTGAGGGCTGGGGGAAGGAATCACTTTAGGACACAAAATAAGGAAGTCTCCTTGGACCGGAGATTTAAGAAGCAAAACAAGATATTTTGAAAAGGTTTTTTTTTTTAACTTAACTAATCTTAAAATTATTTTTGTATGATTCACTGATGAAGTAGCATCAGCTTGAATTCATTGTGATTACTAGAACTTTTGTCTATAATTTAGTCATTCATGAATCTATTCAATGTGCTTATCTATATATGAATCCATATATTTGGGGCTATTTTATTCTTAGATTTTAAAACCGTTTCATATAGTCAGCTCCTCAAGAATAACTATTAAAATGAAGTTATGAGAGACACCGTGGTTTACAATATGATGCCAATGGGTTTGGAGCCAATAGAGTTGGGACAAGTACATTCATTAGGTAGAAAAATATTAAGTGATTTAAAAACTTACTATAAATCTTAAAAAAATCAAGGGAGTGTGAAATTCCTGTAGGGATATGCAATAATGTCAATGCTACAAAAGAGATGGTGAAGAAATAGATTACACATATTCACTAAATTGATTTTCAACAAAGGTAACTACATAATTCAAAGATTGAAAAAAGTTATTTTTTTCCCTATTTTAATACCTGGATATCCCTAAAGAAAGGGATAACTTTTAATCCCTACCTCACATCTTACACTTTAATTTAAGATGAATTATGGGCAGAAAGATGAAGACCATAACTGTAATGATTCTAACAGAAATAGAAAAAATATCTTCACAACTGTAGGGTTGGGAAATATTTCTTATAGAGAGGAAGAATAAACAAAAAAGATTATTTGTAGTTGATTAAAATATAAAAAATCTGTTCATCAAAATAAACCATTGAGAAAATGAAAATGCTACACATGGAAGAAAATAACCATAATACATATATCTGACATTGTACCAGTTGTATCAGGGTATCTAATGAATTATAAATTACTAGTGAAAAGACGAATAACCCAATAAAAAATGGGCAAAGATTTAGACACTAAAAAAACCCACACATATAAATGGCCAGTAAACACATGAAAAGATTCCCAGCATGATTAATTATTGAGAAAATTGAAACTAAACCCAAAATATATTATGTTCTGAAATTGTTTCTTGGTTTATTAAAAATATAAATATATGCCTATGACCCAGCAATTGCACTCTTCTATATTTAGGGGGTACAAATGCAGGTTTCTGTAAACATATATTGCATAGTGGTGAAGTCTGGGCTTTTGGTGTACTTATCACGCAAATAGTAAACTTTGAACCCAATTGGTAATTTTGCAACCCTTACCCTCCCCTCACCTTTCCATGTTTGTAGTCTCCAATGTCTATTTTCCCAATCTGTATGTATGTGTGTACCCATTGTTTAGCTCCCGCTTATAAGTGAGAACATGTGCTATCTGGCTTTCTGTTTCTGAGTCATTTCAGTTAAGATAATGGTCTACGGTTCAATCTATGTTGCTGCAAAAGACATAATTTGGTTATTTGTTATGGCTAAGTAGCATTCCATGGTGTGTATATATATATATATATAACACATATATATATATATAAAAAACACACATATATATAAAACACATATATATAACACACATATATATAATACACACACACACACACACACACACACACACACACACATATATATATATAAACACATTTTCTTTATTCATTCCTGTTGATGAACACTTAGGCTGATGCCATATCTTTGCTATTGTCAATAATACTATGATAAATATATGAATGCAAGTATCTTTTGGATATATAATTTATTTCTTTTTGAGTACATATCCCTATATAGTTAGTAGTGGGATTGCTGGATCTAATGGTAATTATAGTTTTACTTATTTGAGAAATTGCCATACTGTCTCCCATAAAGATTGTACTAATTTACATTCCCACCAACAGCATATAAGCATTCCCTTTTCTCCACATCTTTGTCAACATCTGTTGTTTTTTGACTTTTTAATGATAGCCATTCTGAATGGCGTAAGATGATATTGTTGTCAAAATGCCAGGGATTTGGTCTATGTCTCATTGCTTACCACACAGAAAGACAATCACTGAGACAATGAGTATTGCCAGGGAAGACGACTTTTTATTTGGGTGACATCAGCCAGAGAGATGGGAGCCAAACCTCAAACACATTTCTTTCTACTGACTGAAATTGGGTATTTACATAGCAAGGAAGGAATGTAACTACATACAGGGAAAAGGAAAATTAGGGAAGGATAAGGAAGAAATCATGATGGATGGTCTGAGTCTTATTTTCTGAATGAGGTGATCTAACGATTTTCAGTTTCTTTCTTAAGGGTGGTTTCCTGATATAGGAACTCAGAAAACACAAATGTGAATTTTAAGTTTTCAGACTAGAGAGTGTCAATTTTGATGTTTATTCAATAAAATGAATGCATTCTGTGGAACAATTGGGCCAGTCTCAGTTTCTCATTGTGGTTATAATTTTCATTTCTCTGGTGACTAGTGATGCTGAGCGTTTTTTTCAGGTTTGTTGGCTAACTATATGTCTTCTTTTGAAAAATTGTCTGTTCATGTCCTTTGCCAACATCTTAATGGGGTTATTTGTCTTTTTCTTGTTGAGCTGTTTGAGTTCCTTGTAGATTGGTGACATTAGCCCTTTGTTGGATGCATATTTTGAAAATATTTTTTCCCATTCTGTAGGTTGTCTGTTTTTCTTTTGTGCAGAAACTTTGTAGTGTAATTAAGTCCCATTGTGTATTTTGCTTTTGTTGTGCTTGCTTTTGAAGACTTGGTCATAAATTCTTTGCCTAGGCCAATGTCTAGAAGATATTTTCTTTTTTTAAAAGGTTTTCTTCTGATATTCTTATAGTTTCAGGTCTTATGTTTAGGTGTTTAATTTATCTTGAGTTAATTTTTGTATATTATGAGAAACATGAATCTAGTTTTATTGTTCCACATACGGCTATCCAGTTTTCTCAATACCATTTATCAAATAAGATGTCTTTTCCCCGATGTTTATTTATGTTGACTTTACCGAAGATCAGTTGGTTGTAAGAATGTGACATTATTTCTGGGTTCTTTATTCTATTCCTTTGATCTATGTCTGTTTTTATCCCACTACCATGCTCTTTTGGTTACTATGTCCGTGTAATATAATTTGAAGTCCGGTAATGTGATGCTTTCAGCTGTGTTATATTTGCTTAGAATTGCTTTGGCTATCCGGCTCCTTTTTGGTTTCATATGAATTTTAAGGCTGTTTTATTCTAATTATGTGAAAAATAATGTTAGCAATTTGATAGATTGCACTGAATCTGTAGATTGCACTGAATCTGTAAATTGCTTTTGGCAGTGTGGCCATTTTAACAATATTGATTCTTCTAATCCATGAATACAGAATATGTTTGCATTTATTTTTGTCACATATGACTTTTTCCTCACTGTGTTGTAGTTCTTATAAAAGACTTTTACCGCCTTCATTGAATATATTCATAGGTATTTTATTTGTTACCTTTTTTTTGCAGTTATTGTAAATTGGGTTGCCTTCTTGATTTGGTCCTTGGCTACATCATTATTGATATGCAGAAATTCTACTAATTTCTGTGCATTAATTTTCTATCCTGAAACTTTACTGAAGTCATTTATCAAATCTCAAGAGTTTTTGATGAAGTCTTGAGGGTTTTCTTGATATAAGATCATATAATCAGAAAACAGGAATAATTTGACTTCCTTCTTTTCAATTTGAATGCCATTTATTTTTTTCTCTTGCCTGATTGCTCTGGCAAGGATTTCCAATACTATGTTGTACAATGGTGAAAGTGGTCATATTTGTCTTGTTCCAGTTCTCAGAGGGAATGATTTCAAGTTTTCCCCATTAAGTATGATATTAGCCGTGGCTTCGTCATGTGTTTTCTTCATGTTGAGGTATATTCCTTTTTGTACTGTTATTATTTATCCATGAAAAATTAAATTGACAGTTTACACAAGAATATTCATAACATCTTCATTTAAAAATAGCTCAAAATAGGCCAGGCGCAGTGGCTCACACCTGTAATCCCAGCAATTTGGGAGGCCGAGGCAGGCAGATCACCTGAGGTCAGGAGTTTGAGTCCAGCCTGACCAACATGGAGATACCCCATCTCTACTAAAAATACAAAAGATTAGCTGGACGTGGTGGTGCATGCGTGTAATCCCACCTACTTGGGAGGAGCAGGTAATTATTTAAATTAATTTTTGTGTCACTCTCAAATGATATCTTGACAGCAATACAAAGCTCATCAACCAAAATGATAAAATTTTGTCATAAGATGACCCAATGTGGAGCAAATCCTGTACTTTATTGTTTAAATTTTGAGTTATCAGCATTAAAGGAATAAAACTCCATGTAAAGAAAGATGGAATGGAATCTTTCATAATTGCTTTAACCCAAATTGAAAGATATTCAGTCCTCTCACAGGACCTCCCTCCTAAACTAAAATTGGAACACAATCTAAAATTTAACATGCCAATTGAGATATATCAATAAACATTTATAGAGTGCTAATTGAAAGAATTATATAGGTCTCACTTTAGTTGGGTTTTAAATAATTGAGAAATATTAACATGTTCAAATAAAATTTAAATAATTTAAAATATTTTAACCCCCAGGTGTAAATAATTTCACCTTCCTATGAAATTGCATTCTACCTTCTTTGGATGCTTCTCTATACATTTTTTTAAGTTCTACTTTGCATTGCTTTTATTCTATTATTCGTTTTAGATTTCCTCTTTGTCAATAGCTCCTTAGTATTAGGGCCCACTTCCAATTCAGATATCTTCGTCACATACTAGTCACTTGATAAATGTTTAATAAAGAAATCATGAAAAAAGTAACATAGATATAACTTCTTGCATTCCCAGGATCTCAAACATATGTACCAGTGGGAGCTAACAGGAGTAGATACCTAAAAATTAACGAAAAATTTAAAGTTAAGAGATCTAAGGCATTCCCTCATGGTTTGTGTGTTATGGAGATTAGCTAGTTTTTGTTTTATGGAGATTAGCTAGTGGACTTTTGGCACTTGATAGATGTGCAGACATCTGAACATACACAGTATTTGGTGTTGTCTGTGTAAATGAATATTTATGAGGAAAGCCTTGAAGATTGATTCTACTTCTTTATAGATCTGAGTGAATTTCACTAGTTTATTCATTGCTCAGGCTGGTCTGAATATTACTCAATTACTCAAATGTTTTGTTTTTATCTGCCGTAGGCCCTCCCAACCTTAACTTAGATTAAAACCATTAAAAAGTCCATTTTTAAAGCTGTGTAAAGAAAACACTACATCAAAACTGTTAATATACACCTCAAACAGAAAATGCACATATCTTCATTTGTCTTTCACCTCGTTTATGTCAGCCTATATCTTACTGGCAAAAATTGCTTTCCAGCTGCACACAATCTAATTTGACTGTGATGCTCTCTGACACTTGAGCATTACAGTATTTCCTGGGTTAAGGTAAAGGATTTGCAAAACCAGTCCAAAAACTTTATTATCACGGCAGAACATCGATGCATTTCTTGACCATTCGTCACAACAGAATGTGTGAGAGCTGGAGAGGAATAAATCATCCTAGATTACCTATCTAGTACTTGAGAGGCCTACCAGAAAACAGCAGCAGCAGAGATTAACTTGCTGGAGTTCCCAGGAAATTTACAGAGGCTGTTCTACGGAGAAATAGAAACCCCATTTGCAAGATCCTTACCTGTGAAAGGCATCTTAAATCAGTGTAAGCCCGGACATGAAAATTCTGCCAGGATGCCCCAAAGGTCAAGGTAATCCTGATAATCTTTCTGACAATCTCCCTTTTCATTGGATATTTTTATTCTTTAAAATGTATGTGCATTCAAATGTGGATTAGTTTGACATAGGAATAAAAACTTAACACTTGAGTTACCCATGAGGGATTTTCATAGTCCCAGGAAGACAGAAAAGAAAAGCATAATCTGAGATATCTGTGTGTCGCCTTTCTAGTCACCATTTTTTCTTTTTTTGCAATTACTACTGGCAAGTGATTCTTTCTAGATATTTTAATCAATTAATCAGAGTGCCCTATCAGTCTATACAGTGAAATTCTCAACTGGTTAAAATATCAGCCTTTTTTTATACTAATTATCTTTTTGATTTCTACTTTAATGACTACCTTCTTAATCATACTACACTGACAGGAAAAATCCGAAGCTATTAGGTACTTTCCAGGAAAAGATTTTGGAATTTCTCTCTTCATGTTAAAAGAAGAGGCACCAAAAACATTGCCTTCCTCCCTCTACCCCTCAAAAATATGCCTTTGTATCTAACATTCTCATTTGAGACAATCAGACTAAGGCACTGAGAACCCTGGATAAAATAATATTTAAACCTATTTTGTAATCCAAATTTAAAATATCAAACTAAGGTTGAAAGGCTATACAGGGCTGGTTGATTATAGTCAGAAAACCAATCGTTTTCATACTCATCACTTGCACTCTGTTGAGTCTTAGAAGAGGATATGCAATTCAACAACGTTTGTTTAAGGCTAATCATAGATTTCTCTATTAAATAGAAACATGCCATGTGTATGGATATATGTCCTATATATGAATTTATATGTGATATAATAAATCCATATATGATATATGATATATTTACATGTCCATGAGTATCATCAATTGCCCAGGTGCATCATCCCGAGAGAACACCACTTACAAACCCATAGAATATTTTTTTAATTCAATATTTTTTCTTTGCATCTCAAAATATAAAAGTCTTAACAGGCCCCAAATCAATCACTATATTGGTCATAAGGGCGGAGAATATTACAATCTGCTGGATCTGGTGCTGACTAACAGAAGTAATTTACAAATCTCTACCAATCCTTTCAGTTTTGTGTGCCTTGCTATAGTTTGGATGATTTTCCTCCTCCAAAACTTTATGTTGAAATTTAATCCCCAGTACAACAATATAGGGAGGTATGGCCTTTGGTAGGTTACCAGGGCTTCACTCTGATGAATGAGATGAGTTGCCTTGTAAAAGGCTTTAATTGAGGGAGTTTGTCCCCCTTTGTCTTGCAGTCTTCTGCCATGCGAGGACACAGTGTTCTTCCCCTCCAGAGGGTGCAGCACTAAGATGCTATCTTGGAAGCAGAGAGCAATCCTTACCAGACACTAAACATGCTGGTGCCTTGATCTTAGACTTTCCACCCTCCAGAACTGTCAAAAATAAATATCTGTTCTTTATAAATTACCCGTTTTCAGATATCCTGTTATAGCAGCTGGCATGGAGTGGGATGCCCCTTTACTCCATTATTGTCCATGGTGCTTTCAGACTTCTTGCTTCTTTGGGATCCTACATTATTCACTTTCCTTTGTCACTAAAATAAAGTGAAACTTTCTATTCAAAATGCAAGATGCATCACATTTACCTGGATTCTCAGACGAAATAGCATGTCATTGTTATTTCCTCAAAATGTGTCTATGCTTTGTATCTCTTAAGAAATTTTTTTTGGGTTAAAAAGGTATAGATTATTGAAATAGTTTTCTCCTTATTCAGCTGACTATTTTTTGTCATAGTATTTATATTTTAAAAGTGTAAAACATCAAATTGGGCACTAATTAGTCTCGAAAATGTAAGTAATTCAGTTTTTCTCTTTCACTAAAAAATGCTTATTCTGGTTGTTTTTGAAAGGACAAATGTCTGCTATTTATTCATAAATCAGACTTTTACCAAGATGAAAATACATTGTTGAACTCTTCCCAGGAATCTCTAAATTTCTCACAGATAGAAACTTCTGATGATATGAGCAAGAATAATTAATAATTAGAGACTAAACATTATTGTGAAACTGAGAACATTTCCAAGGGAATATGAACTTCTCTACCCCATCTTGAATACAAGATTGATTGGGTTTTTCTATATTGTATTAGCTTCAATATTGTTTCTATTTCTATTTCTAAAACTGAAATAAAATTATTCTATTTATATTTTGGTAAAAATAAAATCTCACAATGAAACAAATGAACATAATATCATTCTCTTTGTTGAGTCACTAATAAGAGAAATCAGAAGTTAATTTATACCAGAAACCACAGTCCAGATATGATTGCCTAATAAACATTATTAGCAGCAGTACTCAGACCATTGGTTAGCATGACAATCTTAAGTGCTTACTTGGTTATAACCCAGGCTTCCAGTCTTAACTTCATGGGTGTTTTTATGACTTAACACATGAGTCCTGCCACAATACATGAAATACTAAATATTTTAGTGAAGGAGATAGAGATTCTGGCTTTAAACTTTTGAATGCATTCATTCGAAGACCATTGTCCAAACATGTTATAATTTCTGAGACCTGAAAAAAAGCACATGTATATTTTTTCTTTGACATCCTCAAGAGAGGCTTCAACTGCTCTGGAGTTTGGAGACCACTAGTTGGTCTTTTACTTATCCTGATGCCCAAATTAACTACTTCTCTAATGTCTCAATAACTATTGTCTTTCTTACTTTCCATACTATGTTCCATCTCGAATTATATAAAACTCTCATGATATGGTATATATATTTACTTTTTAATATATAATTTGACTGCCCATTTAATGATAGTTGGGCAAGATGTATTAGAAGCAAAAATAAATATTTGTTGTATTACTGGTATTTATTTATATTTAATAAAAATTAAAGGGCTTTTATAAAAGACTACATAAAATATAAATGATAATCTATTTTATATTTTTCATATAAAACTAATATTTAAGTATTACAGAAAGTGTGATAGCTATTAAAAAATGGGAGGAAATAATTTGAAAACACCCAGACAAACTCCTCACACTGGTGTCATGAGACAAAAGTTATTGCTTTATGTTTCAAATCATAATTTTTTCTGTGTTATAAGGTCACCCTCATTCCCAAGTGGAGAACAAGGATCAGTAATGTGGGCTCTGTCTGTGTAATATAATGCAACATTAAAGCCCATTTAATTTTTGATGTCTGACAAAGATATTTTATATTTCAGCAGTGACACATTTTTGATTATGTTTTAGTCATGGTTCAAGTTCCCTAGCAATGACTTATTTTCATTACTTGATTCTCTGTTGCCTTATTGCACTGAAACTGTGTTGCTTTTTGTCTGAAGTTAAAATATAACATTTTCCATGTTTCTATAGCTTTCAGTTTGAAACATATTCCCCACCATTTTCTCAGAGGTAAATAATTAATAATTTTTATTGTAGCTATTACTTTGATGTTTTTACTGTCTGTTTCAATATGAAAACAATTGCAGTGATAAAATATACTTTAATTGGAATTATTGAAATTCTTCTGTATGTCCATAATTATAATAGAAATCTTGATAATGAATTTTATTTCTTTTTTATTTTTATGAATTTGAATTATGAGTTTTTACAAAATAAATATATATCAGCATATGAATATTTTAGGTGGAAAACATCATTACTAACATATGCTTTACTCTATCAAAGCAAATAAGAAGGCCATTAGCCAAAGGTTGTCTCTGTAACCAAAGCTTATACTTAAGGAACCTGAAATTTAATTTGTAGGCATTTCTTGTAACTGATTTAAGGGGAGAGAGAGATCCTCAGCCAATCACAACTAGTCAACCAGCCAATTGGTTATATGACAAGAGATCTCCCATTAGACCATACATAAGTAAAGCAAACACCTAGCTATAGCCAATTAAGTAACTTATTTGTTTCCATGTTCAGCCTAAACAACCTTGCTGCTCAAGTTGCTGGAGCAGAGATTTCTGAACCTCTTTCAATTTTGAGTGCTGCCTGAATCATGAGTCATTCTTTGCTCAAATAAATCCTGTTAAATTTATTTTACCTAAAGTTTTTCTTTTGACAACTCTCAATCCAAATATACTGAGTGGATTACTAATTTACTTTCCAACAGTGCATAATAAATTTGATCCAGAGTTACCTTAACATTAACAAATAATAAAATAAATTTAACTTGTAATTTGGATCTAGAGAAATCTTGAGTTTAATTTTAAGGAGTCTGGTTTGATAGGATCTTTAATACTAATAAAAGAAACTTGTAGAATAATTTTAATTTCTTTTATTATTTTTCTACATATTTTCAAAAGGGAAAATGTTCTTTCTACAAAATAGCACCAGTAACATTTTTGTTGAAGACTAACTTATGCATCTATTTTACATATATCCTTCTAATGTTTTTATACTACATTTTCTCCCTTTTTATTTGTCTTTCTGAATGACTCTAAGTTTAGCTATTTTTCAATAACACAAAGTTTGAAATAACTGGCTGGAATTGATATTGCATAAATGGCATGTATCAGTGTACTCCTGGTGCTTTCAAGTCTCCTTACATTTATCAAACATTATTTCTCCTTTATTTTAATATCTTTGGCTATTCTTTAGCTCTTCAGTGCATAAATACATTTGCTTACTTGTCTCTTCCCTCAGCTATCATGCTAATATAACATACAGCATGCACAAAAAGAAATAAGCCTTGTTATAGCTATTTTATTAATGCAGTCTGCGAACTAAAATAGTTGGTTAGAATCCACCCAATTCACATGTATGTGAATAATCGTACCTAGAGGTTTTGTTCTGATGCCCAAAGCTCTATTAAAATGCCTCCTAATTAGCATCAAATGACTGAAAACACACAGTAAAATGGGTTTTCTAGACCTTCTGTACCATGACATACAATGAATTTCAATGTTAGTTGCTAGTATGTATTCTTGATTAAACTCATAATTAAATGATAAGGAGATTCAAGGGCAATAATCCAGATGGTATTCTTCTAGGCTCTTGGAATCAACTAGAGTGTGCTCCTGTGTCCTGGGATATCTGCTTCTTTCTTTAGAACTTTTGTCACTTGGCTCTTGGGCTTTCTCATACTGTTTCTTAGTTTCACATCTGAAAACTGATTTCAAGAAAAACATTGCTCTCTTTCACAAAGAAAATGTTGCAAATAAAAGTTG
The DNA here is from genome assembly GCF_000001405.40 of Homo sapiens. Taxonomy (NCBI): domain Eukaryota; kingdom Metazoa; phylum Chordata; class Mammalia; order Primates; family Hominidae; genus Homo; species Homo sapiens. The sequence continues at coordinate 84,679,910 of NC_000005.10, read as the reverse complement.
CTTCCGGCTTCATCTATTAATCCTAGAATGGTTAAAGAGTCCTGGTCCTCTTTGTGTACTTAAATGTGAGCTCTCTGTCTCTACCTTTCCTTGCCACATTTTGTTACTTGCTTTGTTGAAAAACAGAACAATGTAAACCCCTTTCGCATTACATAAAAGATCGATCATTGCCACTAATAGAAACGCACTTAGCACCTCAAATCATTAACCATTTTCTGAGAAACACTAGGTAAGGAGCATGAATATTTTATAGTCTCTTTTCTCATATTGTGAAGGTTACATTTAACCCACTTTGTTTATACAAAATTAATTTGTAGCCTCCATCTTTAACATCTGCCAAATGTTTCCATAACTTATTCACACCAAATTTTATCACTTTCTCTTTACATTTTTCCCAGGTCTAAAGGAGTATTCTGGAGCAGTGGTTCCTAAACATGAGGATACGCTGACATCACCTAGAAATAAAATGAAAACTGATGGTTACAGCCCCAGTTTCTAATTCAATAGGTCTGGTATAGGCCCTGAGCATTTTCTTTTCTAACTAGCTCTCAGATAATGTGGATGATGTTCTATGAGGGGCCTCATTTTAAAATCACAGCTCTGAACAAAGAGGCAAAACAGTTCTCTTTATTGAAGAGAAAAATCTACTGACATACAATAAAATAATTTTTCTTCCTTATATTTATTTGTTAAGCTTATTATGTATAAACTCATAGAGCTAAAAAAAAAAGTTGAATTTTCATGTTTTCTTATTTATTTGTTTTGCCTAAGAGAAACTACAATGTGTAGCCAATTACAGAGCTGAGATTAAAATCAAGGCTTCTTGACTCTGAGTTCACTAGTCTTTCAAATTTCTGTACACTTTTTTAGATTTATCTAGTTAATAGTAAGAAATGTGGTCTGGTGTGGTGCCTCATGCCTGCCCGTAATCTCAGCACTTTGGGAGGCCGAGGCGGGTGGATCACTTGGAGATCAGGAGTTAGAGACCAGCCTGACCAACATGGTGAAACCCCATCTCTACTAAAAATACAAAAATTAGCCAAGCATGATGGCATGCACCTGTAATCCCACCTACTTGGGAGAGTCACCTGAAACTGGGAGGCAGAGGTTGCAGTGAGACGAGATTGTGCCACTGCACTCCAGCCTGGGCAACAGAGCGAGACTCTGTCTCAAAAAAAAAAAAAAAAAAATAGTATGAAATGTCACAAAAATATCAAATGCCAATTTTTATTACTATATTACCTTGGTTTTTCAGAGCTATAGCACGCAGTTTACTATAGAGTTCATTTAGACAAAGTCACTATATGATTTATCATAACTCTCATGCTTTCTTTGAATGATAATAAAATTAGGAAGATATACTAACATAACTTTATACAGGCTTTTCACAGCAAATAAAAAGCTTAAATGTTTTTTTAAAAAAACTCCATACAGGGAATTAAGAAACCATAGTACTACACTTGGCTTTATTACTAATTGGCTGTGAAACATCTTGAACAATTAAATCCCCTTTCCTAGGCAGTTTTGTTTTCTGACTTTGTCCTAGGTCACTGGCATCAGAGGGTGTTAAATACCTAAAAGAAGCCCAGGAAGCACTTTGCCACTTCTCTTTCTCTGTGACTTTGACACAAGACCACAATATCCAAACGAGGGAAAGATGCGCAGTTTGTGCCCCTGACAATGTAGGAGATAGACACTGTTTCACAGGGTGGGGAGGACTTCAGTAGGAGTAGTGCAGAATAATTTGTCAAATTCTTCCTCTCAGAGAGCATGAATGTAATAGCCTCCTCCATAAAGAAGTGTTATTTTCTAGCAGTGCCACGTGTCCATTTTCTTTGCCTCTCTTTTTTTTTTTTTTTTTTTATTATACTTTAAGTTTTAGGATACATGCGCACAACATGCAGGTTTGTTATATATGTATACATGTGCCATGTTGGTGTGCTGCACCCATTAACTCGTCATTTAACATTAGGTATATCTCCTAATGCTATCCCTCCCCCCTACCCCCACCCCACAACAGGCCCAGGTGTGTGATGTTCCCCTTCCTGTGTCCATGTGTTCTCATTGTTCAGTTCCCACCTGTGAGTGAGAACATGGTGTTTGGTTTTTTGTCCTTGCGATAGTTTGCTGAGAATGATGGTTTCCAGCTCATCCATGTCCCTACAAAGGACATGAACTCATCATTTTTTTTGGCTGCATAATATTCCATGGTGTATATGTGCCACATTTTCTTAATCCAGTCTATCATTGATGGACATTTGGGTTGGTTCCAAGTCTTTGCTATTGTGAATAGTGCCGCAATAAACATATGTGTGCATGTGTCTTTATAGCAGCATGATTTATAATCCTTTGGGTCTTTGCCTCTCTTTTATGGTTCTAGAGGTGTAACAAATTAATGCACATTTTCAATAGTAGGACATGATGGCTAAAAAATATTTAGTATTATTTAATAATTTATATTATTCTTATGTAGTTCTAGATGCAATATACATGAAGAATCACATCAGTCTTTAAATTGGTACCTGGATGAATATTGAATGCTAGAAATAAAAATGATTTTAATCTATCCCTAATAAAAAATTTAATTTAAAGGTAAATTTAAATCCTCAGCATTATTTACAGTATTTTAAAATATTGTTAAAAATAATCTTATGATAATGGCATTTACTTCATTTAGCTCCAAATCCAGAAGTGCGATGTGCGTGTGTGTGTGTGTGTGTGTGTGTGTGTGTGTGTGGAGTGTCATATATAGTACTTAGTCTGAATTTTCTTCAAGGAGACATGACCTCAGTTGTGCCTATATAGATGACACTTTTTGGAACAATTTATAGTTTAGATACAATATATTTTGAATCAGCCCAAAGATGAAATATCTTGATGAATGACACATGTATCAACTTGAACTTACAGGCACTCTCAGGCACAAAATATAAATGTCAACCAAATGCTGTTAAAGCAATTTAAGTTTATCAAAATACATAAGAAAAGTTACTGAAGTGGCAAATGATTCTTAAGCCAAAAGGAAATTTGAGTTTCTGTAAACTGTAAATTATGCTCATTTTTATTTTTCTGTACATAGTAATAGGATATGAACTTTTGTTTGCTATGTTAGTAAAAACAGAACATATTTACATTTGTCTATTGTACTTAAAATAATTTTTTAAATAATTATAAAATATTTTAAAGATAGAGATTGTTTTAGGAAAAAAATAGAGGAATATGGGACAAAATTGACTTTCAAATATAAGGAAAATAGAGCAAGGCAACAAAAATATTTTTGTGACTATGGAAAAGAAAATTTTTCAGAGAAGTAATGTTAAAACTAATTACTACAGACACTCTTTTTTTTGCCATTATATGTCAACGTATATTCCTGACTGAAGAGAATTTTTATCAAAGTGATCAACATACTTCTTTTAACATTTTCTTTATAATATTCCAGCATTAAAAATATGAAAGAATTTCAGAAATATTGTATGATTCTTAAGTGACTTGAAAATTATATGAAGAAATTAGAATATTTTGTGGCTTTGGTAATGAATTTATGATCTATAAGCTCATTACAATGTTTGCACACAATTTTTAAAATGAATTGTTCATGTCCGAATCTAGGTATGACTATGCTGTTTAATTATACTTCCAGTTGCCATCGTCTCAGCAGAGTCAAGTTTTGCCATGCCGAAATTTATGTTGAAGAGCTACCTAAGAAGTAAAATCGCTCAAAAAGTGTTCTAATTTGGGATTACTTGCAACAGAGAACAAGTTACATGAAATGTTTAATTATAAAGACAGAAATTTTTATTTTTCTGAGATTAAAACAAAAACACCAAAATTTTTATCAGTTTTATTGGGATATAATTGGCAAATAGAAATTGTAGATATTTAAAGTGTTTTAATATAGGTATACATTGTGAAATAATCACCACAATCAAGCTAGTTAACATATTCATCATCTCTCACAGTTTTTATTTTGTTGTGGTGAGTACGCTGAAGATCTACCTGCTTAGCAAATTTCAAGTGTACAATACGTCATCATTAACCACAGTTCTCATATTGTATATTAGACTTCCAGAACTTATTCATGCTGCATAACTGAAACTTTCTACCCTTTGACACAAATTTATTGAAAAGTATAAAACAAAAATATAACTTACATGTCTTTATTTTATTGCTTATCCAAATACAACCAAAATACTCAGACATGTAGTAATGATTAAATTCAGTTGTATAAAATATTTTACCACGTTTAGTTCATTGTAAGCCCATAGGTTTTCAAATATTATTTTGACATTATAGGTTAATTGTCAAGGAAAGAGGAAAAAACATGCTTACTTAAATTTCACTTAAAATCTGTGGCTCAATTCATGATTCTTTAAGATTTACATATATGTGGGCCTCTCTTTCCTCTCTTGCCCAAGGTCTTTCAAATGTTAAAGATTAGAGTTTATGCCTCAGCTTCTTATGTAAGAATTATGACTTTGATGATCTTTAAAGGCATCATATATAAGTTTCTGTGTTCCCATTGAGAAAAAAAATACCACCAGTCTTTCCTGGAAAGGCTGACTGCCTCTCAGGGCCTCAAGCCTCCTTTGGACTTAGTAGTAGAGCTGTGATTAGGGCCAACAATATAATGTAGTTCTCTTGATTGTATACATCTCTGGTTCTGCAAAATAGCTTACTTATCCTCTGTACAACTGTCATCTTTCCTAACAACCATGCAGTTAATTTAAAAAAATAAAACAGTTAAAAATTTTTTTTTCTTGAAAGATCATAGTAAAATCCCTGGTTTTCTCTCTTGGTTTTATCTTTTCAACCACATTGCAATTATTTCAGAATTTTTCTGTACATTTTTTAATATTTCAAAGCATTTGCACTGAAGTTATTTCAGTGTCAATAAACGGACCCAGCTACAGATTTTTGCCCAATTCTATGCCTGCTAATAATTGTTCTACTATAGTAGAACAAAATGTTATTCCATTTACGTATTTTACTTAAAACAGTAACAAAAGTTACGAAATTTTGCAGCTCAGAGAAGATTTAAAATGGGTGTTTTTTTTTGTTTTTCGTTTTTTATGATTACTATTTTATTCTAAAGGATATGACAAAGAATATAGATGAAGAGATTTGTAGGGGGAGGTATGGGGAAAGGGGCCTGGAGCTTCCTTGCCCTCCTTGGCGCGCCACCTTCCAGGACATTCCATGTGTTCAGCTATCTGGAAGCCCTCCTAACTCTGTCCTCTTGGATTTTTATGGAAGCTTCATAAAATCAGCATTTCATCCCCTAGGATGGGTGGGACCCTCTCAAGGGAGGGGTCTTAAGACCTACAATCTGAAAGATAGGTGAAGATTAGAGTTCTGCCTTGAGGCAGGTGAAAGGAGGGCAGAAGAGAGATTCTGTTTCCTGAGGCCTAACACACCCAGCATTATAACAAAAGTCTATAGCAAGGACTATAGGAGTTATGAGCCAAGAACTGTGGACAAATCGTATGCAGATATATGATTAATATATATTATACCAGGCCATGCCTGGTTTTCAAGCACTGATCCCTTACATCGAAAGGATTTATATAATCATTAATAATGAGTCCAGTTCATCATATTGTATGAATGCCTCCTAGGGTGAGGCTACTCAGGAGAGCAGGGTTCCTTTCAATCTTGTCAGGTTTTGAAAGCAGAGTGGTCTCTGCAAATACACAGTTTCACCATTTCAGGCATCTGGAATAATGGAGCTAAGAAACAATGTCATTGCTTCCTCTGAGCCTCTTTCAAAGTATTAATGTAATGTTGGATTTCTCTCAATTTATAACCCATTTATTCACTCCTTTACACGTCTCTCCATTAATACTCTACCTAATGTTTTCACTTTTAGAAGGGACTTTCGAATCACCACTCTGCTGGTCTAGATCGCAGGCAGCTGTCAAGTCTGCCAAGTGTCTTCTCCCCAGTCCACTCCCATTCAGATAAGGTAAAGTTACAGAGCTGCAGAACCAGTGAGCTGTTTTTACCACCAGGCAATATAGCTGTGTTCATTCTCAATCCCAATTTTGCTAGATGGGGTAAAGGCACACCCACTGCCATCAGGCCCTTAGGAATTCTGACATAAGGCTTAAAACCATAGTTACAGTTTATTACTTAGAAATCATCCCTGCTTCCAGCATTTGTAGTTGCAGCCCTGGTACTATGATCACTACTCCATCAGGTAGGAGATAAATTTTTTAGGTGAATTGAAAGGAAAAAAATTATAGTCATTACACCATTTTACTCCTCCCTTGATGAGAATTGCATAGTCATACCACCATCCTCCCTAACCCCTGTTTTCAGATAACCCAGGAAAACAGAAAAATCTGGTGGGGACAGCAGTCCCAATCATGTTGAGTGTGAGCACACACTAGTGAAGGCGTGTAAGCCACCCTTCATGCTTTTATCTCCCCTTGTTTTAGACAATCAATGTTTCAATTGCCCCATTCTATTTCTCTATCAAACTTTTACTCTAAGAAGAGTATCTCTCTGCCCACTGTTGACATTACATATGGGTTGTGTGTTCCACGATCTGAAGAAATAATGGGCCAGGGACTGTGGCTCACAGCTGTAATTCCAGCACTTTCGGAGGCTGAGGTGGGTGGATCACCTGAGGTCAGGAGTTTGGGACCAGCCTGGCCAACATGGTGAAACCTTGTCTCTACTAAAAATAAAAAAGTTAGCTGGGCATGGTGATGGGCATCTGTAATCCCAGCTACTCGGGAGGGTGGGGCAGGAGAATCACTTTAACCTGGGAGGCAGAGGTTGCAGTGAGCTGAGATCGTGCCACTGCACTCCAGCCTGGGCAACAGAGCAAGATTCCATCTCAAAAAAAAAAAAAAAAAAAAAATGAAAGAAAGAATGGTAAGCCATTCAAATTAATGCAACATTTTCTGTTTCAGTTTTCTTTTTTTAATAGCACCGTAAGCATTTTCATCTTCTACTGGGTAAGCAAACCCAGTCCATAAAACCCAGTGCCTATTCCTGTCAAGATCCATTTGTAGCCCCCTCAGAGCTACTGGCCTCAGTCTCAATTGCAAGCTTTGTACACGGCCTTCGAACCAGGGAATCTGCTCTATAGACATAAGCAGTCTCTGCTTTTCTTGCTGAGAAGCAAAACAGTTCTTACTGGTATTATGTGCCTGAGAGGGTGGAAAAGACCATATCCACTCATTTTATGGACACAGGTGGACACCTCAAGGGAGTACACGGGGCTATCTGCTTGTCAATTCCTGTCACCTTCTGAACCTGAAGGGAGTTCTTCTGATAGGCATTGACTTGTTCTACTCTAATGCACCCCTCAAACTTCCATAGAGCTATGCACCTTATGAGCATCTGTTTAATAAGCTGGTTTCCATTGCCCGCTTGCCTGAGTGTATGGCCAGGCCATTGGTCACTGCCCATGAGTGAGTAAAAACCTAAACACAGGGGCTTGTACCATTCTTTAATTCTTCATTTCAAAATAGCAAGCAATTCACCCCATCAAGCTGATCTGTTTTTACCTTCTTTGATCAAAGCAGCAGACTTCCAAACAGAATGTTGTTCATTCCCTTTGGAACTGCCATCCATAAACTAAGCAGCTCCTTGTTTGTCAACCAAGAGCTCTTCATAGTGCATTGTCCAAGTGTCAATAGGATCCAGCAGCACCTCACACAGTTTCAGAGTCAGTCCGAGAGTTAAAGATGCTCCTAGCTTGTGAGTGTTTTCTCCTTGCATTCCCTGGGTAGCATGCTCCTGTATAAACCATTACTATTATCTTATGGAACACTTCTGGGTACTACCATCCCCATTAAAACATTTCTCCGACATCCAAAACAGTACTGGTATTTCAGGTGTTAAAATTACTTAACATCCTTCAGCCATAAAGGTAGTTTCAGTCAACATCTCATGCTAAGGCAGTAAGTGCACATCAAGTGAAAATTCTCTAGTTCAAATCCTCAGTACTCATATTGCTGGGAGTGCTCACAGCTTTTGAAAAAAGCCCCAGTAAACACTCCACAGAGGACTATCAACCTCCTATATGTCTGGATCATATATACCCATTGCTCAATTTTGAGCTCTGGGTTCTGCATCAACCCAAATGTGCTCTTCTACTCTGCATTGTTTGAAACCAAAGATATCACCCCATGAGAGAGAATTATTCACTCTCATAATTCATCTTAGTAAAGGTTGTTTAGAAAGCTGACAATACTAATGTATAAAATGAAACACTTCCTTCACACTATACCCTCTGGGTATATTAGTTTGTTCTTGGGTTACTGGGTGTATTAGCATGTTCTCGCACTTCTATAAAGAAATACCTGAGACTTGGCAACTTATAAAGAAAAAGGTTTAATTTGCACGTGGTTCTATAGGCTGTACAGGAAGCATGGGTAGGGAGGCCTCAGGAAACCTTCAATCATGGCAGAAGGTGAAGGGGAAGCTAGTACATCTTACATGGCTGGTACAGGAGGAAGAGAATGAAAGAGGCGTTGCTACACACTTTTAAACAACCAGATCTCATGAGAACCTTCTATCATGAGAACAACAAGGGGGAAATATACCTCCATGATCCAATCACATCCCACCTGGTCCCTCCTTAAAAATTGGAGATTATAACTGAAGGCATGAGATTTGGGTGGGAACACAAATGTAAGCCATATTATTCTGGCCCTTCTCAAATATCACGTTCTTCTCATCTTGTAAAATACAATCACCCCTCTTTAACGGTGTCCCAAGTCTTAACTTATTTCATCATTAACTCTAAAGTCCACAGTTCAAAGTCTTATCTGAGACAAGGCAAGTCCCTTCTGCCTATGAACCTGTAAAATAAAAAAAAAGTTAGTTACTTCCAAGATACCATGGGGGTACAGGCATTGGATAAATACACATATTTCAAAAGGGAGAAATCAGACAAATGAGAGAAGCTACAGACCTGTGCAAGTCCAAAACCCAGCAGGTCAGTCATTACATCTTAAAGCTCCAAAATAATCTCCTTTGATTCCATATCTCACCTCCAGACCACAGTGATTCAAGAAGTAAGCTCCCAAGGCCTTGGAGAGCTCTCCCCCTGTGGCTTTGCCGGACTCAGCTCCCATGGCTACTCTCAAGGGCTGACATTTAGTGCCTGCAACGTTTCCAGGTGCATGGTGCAAGCTGTTGGTGGATCTAACATTCTGGGTTCTGGAGGATGGTGGCCCTGTTCTCATAACTTCAATAGACAGTGCCCCAGTGGGGACTCTGTTTGGGGGCTCCAATACCACATTTTTCCTTCACACTGCCCTGGTATAGGTTCTCCATGAGGGCTCCAAGCCTGCAGCAGACTTCTGTCTGGACATCTATGCATTTTCATACATCCTCTGAAATCTAGGCAGAGGCTCCCAAGCCTCAACTCTTGCCTTCTTTACACCGACAGGCTTATCATCACATGGAAGCCACCATGGCTATTGGCTTCCACCATCTGGAACAATGGCCTGAGGTGTACCTTGGCCCATTTTAGCCATGGCTGGAGTTGGAATGGACACAATAAAGGGCACCATGTCCCAAGGCTACACAGAGCATCAGGGCCCTGGGCCTGGCCCAGGAAACCATTTTCCCCTCCTAGGCCTCTGGGCTTCCAATGGCAGGGGACTCCATAAAGGTTTCTGAAATGCCTTTGAGGCATTTTCCCCATTATCGCAGGGATCCTCCTTACTTATGCAAATTTATGCAGCAGGCTTGAATTCCTCTCAAGAAGATGGATTTTTCTTTTCTACCACATGGCTGAGCTGCAAATTTTCCAAACTTTTAAACTCTTCTTCCCTTTTAAATATAAGTTCCAGTTTTACATCATTTCATTGCTCACAAACAGAAGTTTAGGCTGCTAAAAGCATCCAGGCTACATTTTGAACATTTTGTTGCTGAGAAATTTCTTCCACCACATACCCTAACACATCTGTCTCAAGTTCAAAGTTTTATAGATCCCTAGGGCAGGGGCACAATGCCACCAGTCTTTTTGCTAAAGCATAGTAAGAGTGAACATTATTCCAGTTCCCAGTAAGTTCCTCATCTCTATCTGGAACCACCTCAGCCTGGACTTCATTGTCCATATCACTATCAGCATTTCAGTCACAACAATTTAACAAGTCTTAGGAAGTTCTAAACTGTCCCTCATTTTCCTGTCTTTTTCTGAGCCCTCCAAACTGTTCCAACCTCTGGGTGTTAGCCAGTTCTAAAGTCACTTCAACATTTTCAGGTGTCTTTATAGTAGTGCCCTATTCCTTGGTACCAATCTTCTGTATTAGTCTGTTCTTTCATTGCTATGAAGAAATACTTGAGACTGGGTAATTTATAAAGAAAAAAGGTTTAATTGGCTCATGGTTCCACAGGCTATACCAGAAGCGTGGCAGGAGAGGCCTCAGGAACCTTTAATCATGGAGGAACATGAAGGGGAAGCAGGCATATCTTACAGCCAGAACAGGAGGAAGAGAGTGAAGGAGGAGGTGCTACACACTTTTAAACAACCAGATTTCATGAAAACTCACTATCATGAGAACAGCAAGGGAGAAATCTACCCCCATGATCCAATCACCTCACACTAAGCCCCTCCTCCAACACTGGGGATTACAACTGGGGGCATGAGATTTGGGCTGGGACACAAATCCAAACCATAGTGCTTGATTTTGCCCTTCCCCCACATTAACTACATTCTTGGTAACCACAGGTCTCAGAGGTACTTTCTGTTGTCCCGGTATAATTTTCTCCATTGTGGGTGGCATTGAGGCTAGTGGCCTGAGCTTAGACAAACTCACATCTGAGCTTGGTCCAGCCTCAAGGCCCAACCCAATGCTCTCTTAGTTTCATTTTAGCTATTATACATAGCAATAGCCAAGGGATCGAATATTTTGCTTTTTTTCATAGTTTGCATTTCCTTATATATCCAGTGAACCAATTCACTGGAAGTTAGGTTCATCTCTAAAGTCCACTGGTAACTTTTACCTTTAGTAGCTGATCTCAACTCAGCTGTAGCTTTATACAGTGGGTGGCCACGTGGCCACATAGGAATCAATGGTTCTTCATCCCTTCACCTTTTTATCCTTTCTCTTCCCAAACCAGATGTTTCTCTGAGCCTGTGCCAGACCAGAATATCCTACCACTACCACCCAGTATGTCAGAAAAAAACTTTCTCAAGCTGTTTTTCCTCTGCTCTCACACCACCACAACAATCATCAACACAAAAGACTTCTATGACCAATTTGTAGGGGTTTTGCCCCACACACTAAGCAGCAGACACCAGCTCCATGTCCTCCAATTCAATTCCAACACTATCTACCTGGAGATAGTGTCAGATCCCATTGCTTGAGGGCCCAATCCGCACAAATGCCCCCCAAATTCCCCCCACACACCAGTCACAAGTCCAGGCCTCCTGAATGGCCAATGGCCTGGCTTCAAGTTGGAGTTCCCACAGCCCCATTTTGGTTTCTATTAATTTGCTGGAGCTGCTAACAGAACTCAGGAAAATACTTACTTACATTTACCAGTTTATTATAAAGGGTATTACAAAGGATACAGATGAAAAGATGCGTAGGGCGAGTTATAAGAAAGGAGGCGTGGAGCTTCCATACCCTCCCTGGGCTCACCACCCTCCATGAACCTCCAGTTTTCAGCTCCTAAAATGCATGTTTTCTATCAGAGACAGAGTCTCATTTTCCAGCTTCCAAATCTGGAAACAAATAATCAATGAGACTTTCTTCTTTGTTCAAAGTAACTGGATTCCCCTGAGAAATATTTGTACAGTTTTACTATCAAATGAATTGCAGGAATAAGCCATTTTCTTAGAAAATGCCAGTAGAAAAATAAGTAACTTCTCATTGTGGAATAGTTTCAGAACTCTTAGCACAAATGAAATTTTCTGATTTGCTAACGACAACATCCCCAAATTAATAATACAGAGTGAATGGATCCAGTAGTTGCAGATGTTTCCATTTTTATAATTTCAATTTTGAATAGCATTAGGAGTTTCAAGTATTTTTTTTCTTTGAGATTATTGCACTGTTCTGATGACTGAAATCACTTGCACTTCAGCCTTCATTCTTGTAAATATTCCATGGAGTCAGAGGTAGCCGCTTGCTGTTGATGTCTTATTGCTCAATTATGAAGCACAGAAAATGCTCCTTCATGTGTATTACAAGAGCAAAATGGCCTCATACATAATAAATCATGAAACAGGCCCTACTGTTGCTGGTGGAATTCACATGCAAAAGAAAAATCATAGATTTATTTTTTTCCAGAGAGTCTGAACTTCTCATTAGTTCGCTTTGAAAATAAGAAGAACTATACTGGTGACGAAACACTGAGTAGGTGTGTTATTTAGTAAAATAAAGCTTAAATCAAGAATTATGTTCACTGAAGAATTATATTAAGAGCAAGGTGAAGAAGAAGAAATATTTTTTAACGACATGAATTTGCATCTCACTTTATTTACTTACAGTAGACTACATCACGGGCACAGCCAGACTCTCACATCAGAGTAATAATCTTCTAAATTCTGAAATTCTGCTTTGAAAAACTACCTAGGAGAATAGTTTTGGAGTGGAATATAGTCATCTTTCAATAAGTTCTTTCCACGGACTCACATAAAGTCTTATTTATTACCTTATTATTGACTGTTTGGCCTGAAGCAACCTCCAAGAGAACAATTTCAGTTGATTTTTTTTTTCTATCATGCTCAAAGAGATAATGAAAGTCTCTTTTTCAGTCATGCAAATTACCACAGACCTGCATGTTTTCTGGCCTGAACAAAATTAGGCTTGGTCTAAAATGAAATATAGTCTAGAAAAAAATACCAGTGCAATTGATACCATCACTCACGAAGGATGACACATCCTTCAATATTCTAATATTAAGTTTATTTGACTCTACTGATAATCAAGACTTTTCCCATAGCCATTGTTAGGTTCATGACTATTTATTATTTATTTTTTTATTTTTTTGAGGAGGAGTTTTGCTTTTGTTGCCCAGGCTGGAGTGCAATGGCGCGATCTCGGCTCACCGCAACCTCCGCCTCCCATGTTCAAGTGATCCTCTTGCCTCAGCCTCCCGAGTAGCTGGGATTACAGGCATGTGCCACCATGCCCAGCTAAGTTTTTGTATTTTTAGTATAGATGAGGTTTCTCAGTATTGGTCAGGCTGGTCTTGAACTCCCGACCTCAGGTGATCCGGCTGCCTCGGCCTCCTAAAGTGTTGGGATTACAGGCGTGAGCCACCGCACCTCACCTCATGGTTATTTTATTTGTTTTTTGTTTGTTTGTTTACTCCCTGTCCCCTCCAATAAAATGTAAGCTCAGTATCTATCAATTCATAACAAAATCATGACACTTGGCATAATCCCTAGGAGTGATAGATTGAAAAATGTAATAAACAAGTAAGCTTGTAATTTTAAACCATGGTGATATTCTTAATTTTCAACACTTTCATTATAGTAAAACTTTTTGGCACTATTTTTAGATCCTATATTCTTTTTTTCCCCCTCTGAGTATTTAGAATTGGGTTGTTTCAAGGCCTAGGCATTTTATGAGGAAAAATTCACTCTGGCACTGCATGATAATGAGGTTGCAATGGAGATCATAGTTTTTTCCTACTTAGCAAGATACTGTCTCCTTTTATACTGATGGAAGTAAATAAAATATTAGAAATTTTTGTATTTCTTTTGTTAGAGTTTAGAAGAATGGGGATTTGGTGATTTTTATTTATCGAATGAAGTCTTGATGTTCCACTAGACGAAGCATAAATAGCATTAATCAATGATGAATGGCACTACATCCCAAACACTGGGAGGATCTTCCACGTTAGAAGGAATTTGCCCTGATTCTGGTGATTGACCACTACAATCAGTTAGCTCGTCCATTCCCTATGATAGTCTCAACTTTATCCTTGGATCTGTCTAGAACACTAAAGAGCTCTGGATTTGGATTGCACCATTTGGGCTTTTCTCTTCTAATTGTTTTTATTAAATTGAGTTTTGGCTTTAGGCTACCAGCTTACACTCAAGGACATGAAAAATAACTTTAAAAAATATAAATTTGTCATTGGATCTATTGTGCAGATGCTGTTGAGAATATCCTACAGTGTATCACACAATGTCTTTTGTAGGAAGACCCACAAGAGACATTTCTTTCAGATATATTTTTTTAAAAGCTTCTTCTTAATAGCTGTCTGTTTTTTTCTCTGGGCTTGAAATCTTGCAACCAACTGCCTTTTCTTTTCTAGTTTTTATCTAGGGAACTCTTTTTTTCTCATGAATATTAGGAACCTTGCTAGTATCTCCCTTTCTTTTTCTACTTTGAACTCAGTAAGCTCGGAATCAAATTTGGTCCTCTTGCCTAGTAATTGTATATAGGAAATATATTACACATTTCTGTGTGTAAATAAAAATATCCAATAATTTAAATAAAATGAAAATAAAATTTAGCTCTCTGTATAGAGACATCATAATATAAAACATAAGATATCAAGCTCAGCATCTGAATTAAATCCTAATAGAAAAGAAACAGTTGCAATAGTAAATTAGGCATAATATACACAGTGGTTCCAACATTCTTATTACACTATGTTTAGTTGTTTAGAAAAATCACTGAAACAATTCTTGGCCATTTTAGTTCATATGAATAATAGAGATGGCTTATAATCTGGAAATATAATGAACCTATATGTAAAAATAAAGTGTAAAATACAGAGAAGTAATTTAAATTTTTATATGTATTCACACAAAATTATTTTTAAAAAACAGCATCAGGTACATGTGAAATAAAAATGGAAATGAAAAAACAGCAAACATAATGAAAACTAGACTATATCAAATTTACCAAAAAACAATCTTTATAGTTGTATATCTTCATATTCAATCTTAAACCTAAAATTTTTTAACTTTCATCTTTCCCGCAGATAATTAGAAACTTGTTATTTTAAAGTTGAGACAGACTTTTGTTTTGACAATTCTTTACATTAATTTTGTTTCAGAGAAGGATTTTATTTTATAACAAGAGACTGAAAACTATATAGACAAAATAAAAAAAAATAAAGTTCGCTCTAATGAAAGCATGGTACTTCAAACCACATTTTCTGACCTCCTGTCTTTCTAATGCTTATTGGCAAGAATCAAGGCTCACTTAATAGCATTTAAAACCTTCTCCTGTCACATACTTCCAGCCATTTTTTTCATTTTCTCTTTGCAAATAGATGTAATGTAAAAACGTGTGCTGTTAAAACACAAATTAATAAAAGTGAAACCTCGGTAAATAATTCATAATTGAGATCATTGCTTCTACAAAAATCTTTCACATTTTTAATCTTCCAATGTGAGTTCCCTGCTAGATGACTTAACTAGTGCTAATACTTACCAATAAATTGAATTGCCTCAAGTTAGTCCAGGTTTCTTGTATCTTTGTCCATTTATTTTCTATAGAATAAGGGTAAGCTTTTCCTTTAAACTAGGAGGATGTGCATATTTTTGTTATCTTTAATTTCCTACTACTAGAGTAAACGTATCCTCAGGGCTCAAATACTTATAACGTTGTGTAGACAAAAAAATACCATTATAATAAAAGAAGCACTGAAATAAAGCTGAACACCTGAATGGTGGTTGTAAAAGAGTTTACTCTCTTTAGAGCTCTTTCCTTCTCAAATTCTCAGAATGCAAATTTGAGGACTGCAAACTCCATTTCTTGATTAATCAGACACTCCTTTAAGAAATATTAAAAGTCATCCTTTACCAGCATTACTATGTCATTAGAGAGAACTTATAATTCCCAAGCCTTTAGATAATAAGCCACAGACCACCTGAAGGTAGTACTGAGAGTAAAAGTTTGGCATTAGTGCATTTAGTCACAGATGGTAAATGGAACTTCCACTGTCTGCTGCATCCCAGATAACAGAGATTAAATCTCTTTCGCTCACATTTCTCTCCACATCTTTTAAACTTTTTTTTTTTTTGTCTCTATGGAGTTTATTTTGTTCTACGGCATTTTTAAATTTGAGCTAAAGAGATTGATACTTCTCACTTTCTTGGGAGGACATGTGATAGATTGCCTTTGTAAATGAAGACTCACACTGTTATTGTCTATAGTTTGGAATAGTCCTGTTAGATTAAACACCATTTGGTTTGGTCCCTTATTGATTATGATGCTTTCCGCTGTCCTGCTGATTCTTTTTTTCTGATGGCTCCACTATGGAGAAACACAGCTTCTTTGAAATAAGCCATCGCAATGCAAGCAGCTCATTAACTTCAGCCTTCCTCCCAGTTTCCTATGACAGGCTGAAGAACCTTCCCTAACTAACTTTAGAGAGAGATAATAAAGTTTTATTTCCCTTGTCACAGCAACTCAAGGGCAGTTCATCATGTTCTTTTCTTCAAGACAGAATTTTGAACAGAAGCAGAGGGATCCAAATTTTTTTTTTTTTTAATGTTCTGGATGTCACTAAATTGGAAGTTACTGTAAATGAGCAACAACTCCTTCCATTTGGTAGTTTCCATATTTTATTTTTTAAAAATGTGGGCATGTCTAAGTATATATTTGCTTCAGAAAATAATGAGATAAAACAAAATCCTCATGGGCATGTGCCCAAATTCAAATTCTATGACTGTTTTTTCTTTAGTTTTCTTGTTTTGTTTTTTATGGATCCCTAACAAACAGTAGAGTATTTGCCTAATGTAGAACCCTTCAAATATTAATACTTTTTAGGACTCCCAAATGTTAAAATTCTACCACTATGTATTCTTTCCTTTGGATTCTTTCCAAGCATTTTCTAAAACTGTAAATACCACTGGAAAGGGGTACATACCTGGGTGGTTTAGGGAATATGCTTGATTCAGTCTGAATAGGCTATGTTACGTTACAATAACAGACACTTTCCAAAATTTCAGTAACCAAACACCACAACAAAAAGTGTTTCTCTCTCATGCTACAAGTCTAATGTAGGTTGGCAGAGGGCTTTGCGCATCGTAGTCTCTCAGGAACAAAGGCTAATGGAGACTCCATCTCCTCACATGTCTCCATGACTGCTAGGGAAGGAAAGGGGAAGGCATTGGATTGTACACTGGCTTTGAAAATTCCTCATGGAAATGGCAAATGCCACCACTTATAATTGGTTAGCCAAAGTGACTCCCATGCCTATGTCTAATGTCAAGAGAGTGGCAAAGTGCAATCCTACTCAGAAGAAAAACAGCACATTTGTGAACATCTTAGTGATCAATACCACACCATCGTAAGTTACTTCTTATACCACATTCTGGCTGAAAACTAGTTGGGTTGAGGGTTAGAAATCCGTATGAGGGGTAAAAGGAAAAGACACGTTTGGAGCCCAATAAACAAATGTAGGAGGCACAGAAGAAACACAAGGCCAACCACCTATTTCTGTGACAAGAAAGGTCATGCAGAAGCAATGTCCCAGCTCACTAGCTTTTAGTGCTCTTCACCAAAAACAGTCATTCTCAATCTAGGTAAATAATTTCCTTTATTAAAAAAAAAAGTAATGCACTGTATCAATAAAATATAAGCAATCTCTTAATTATTATATAATAAATGTCATTTATAAATTTACTTTTTTTAAGTCATAGCTTTCAGAGGAGGAAACACTATAAGTTGTTGGTGATGCAATGATTGGGAACTACTGACCTACAGTATAAGATTTATAGTTCCCTAAGATAAGGAGCTCTGTTTTACATCTCTCTCTCTCTCCATTTGCTAAGTTACAGCTGAAGGTATTCATTGAAGAACATAACAAGGATAGTATGGGAACTAAATGACCTGAGTTTGAGTTCTTGCCTGATCACTTTGCTGACTTAATTATGAGCAAGTAGCTATTGCTTTCACCTGCTTTGCATCTGTTTCTCCTTGTTCTGGTAACAGTTTCATAATCCCCCCCTCCCATCTCCTAAATTACTCCTACCACTTACTACATCCATATGGTTCCACTGAGGGTTCATCTCCTGCTTTCCAAAATAACACATATCTTAACATAGGCCATCTGCATGGTCACATTATTGTTTCACAGAAGGGGTACATGCTCCATATTTTTCATGGATTGACAACGTTTTCCATTGGGAATTTTTTTTTTTTAACCATTTGGGAAGAGAGTTCTATTTTTACCCAATGGCTGCTGAGAAGATATGACATAAGTCCAGAGAGTTTGGCTGCCATATTGCCCACAATAGGGAGACATCTAAACTGAATGGTGGAGGGAGAGGGAATACAAAAAGCAGCTAGATTGAAGTAATTGAAATCTCATGAGGGCTTTTGAGCTTTGAATTATGGGACATAATTTATACCATTTTCATTAAATCTACTTCAAGCTGATGTTTCTAAAATACAAAACATCTTGACAAATAAACCTTTCTGAGCCTGTTTCTACATATATAAAATGAAGTATTGCCATAATAACACAAATGTTCCTACAAATCCTTAAAAATGCTATATGCAATAGGTTTGTGGAAGATTATAAATCCAATTGCAGAAATGCTGGGTTTGAGATAGCTGCAGTACACTTTAGCAGAAATAAACATTGCAGTTTGATGTCCCTGTCTGGAGTCCAGGAAATATATACTGGAGGGAGATATAGATTTGGGAGTCATCAACATAGAAGTGGTAATCAAAGCCAAGGAAATAAAAATGCCCTGTTAGAGTGTGTGTATACTAAAAGGAGGAGAAGGCAATACTGTGTATTTTAAATTTATTAGACCATAAACCACAGTGGGGCCAGGAGCAGAGATATTTTGATCTAAGGTTGGCAAGAGAACACAGTGGCCAATTTGTGTAGCACCTGGAGCTGGAGTCAGTTTCTAAGGAATTTAGTGTTTATCACTTAGGCAAATAAATGGCAGTCACTGAAGGCTTTTAAGCAACAGATAGAATGACATTTTAATTTTTATTAAGATCACTCTTGTGGAAGATGGATTATATGTGGAAGTGAATGATGTCAGAGAGACTAACTAATTATTTCAATTTTTCAAACTGAAGATACTGAGGACCTGAATTAAGGCAACAGAAGTAAAAATTAAGATGGGACTAAGGCTAGAGAAAGATTTAGAAGAGAGAATCTTACACAATTAATGGTATTTGAGGGCTGAGGGAGAGAAAGCATTTCAGTATACAGGTTTTTATAGAATAATTGAAAGAATAGTGACAATTTCATCAAGAGAGAAAATATAAAATGAAGAATAAGTTTGGAGGCAAATCTCAGTTTGAACAGGATGATATTAAGATCCAAAGCCAACAGAAGAATTGAGGGGTAGGGAATTTACCCAGAAATAATTGTTAAAACCTGTGACATTGACAAGAAAAGTCTGTGAGGTCATTTAAAATGATAAAAGAATGAAATCTATGGCTGGAGCCCTAGAGAAAGCCAGGACTCTGAGAAGATTTAACAATGAAAGAACATAAAAGTAGGAGGAAAGAGAAAACAGGAAAGAGTTTGGATGCCCCAAAAAGGGGAGAACATCAAGATATAGCAGCTAGATGGCCTGGTTTCTGAATAAGATAAAAATTGGGAAATTATATGGGGAAACAAGCATTCACTGATAATATAATTCAGGTTTTCTTCATAATAACAGTATAATTCTCAAATAAGTTTATTCACTTTAAATTCCCTCATAATTTTAATTTACCTGTCAATAAGAAAAAGCTAAAAATAAAATTTTTAAAAAATATTCTTGAGAGTTTGGAGTACAGTCCTATAAAACAATTAGTGCTTAGTGTTTATTTACTGAGTAGATTATTACCAGAGTCAACTACTGTCTCATTATAGTTATTTTCAATTTTTAAGAGTTATTAAAGAAATTCTTCATTTTATTTAAATTTTCAAATGTCATGTCATGAAGACCCTCATATTAATTTTCTACTCCCTTCTAGTTCTGTAATTATGTCCCCATTTTCATTCTTGATGTTAGTTATCTGTATTCTTTTTTTCTCTGACGAATCTTCCTAGAAGTTTGTTTCTTTAAAGGAAACTAACAAACTTCATATTTACTTTTTCAAGGAATAAACATTAAACTTTGTCCAAAAACAAACAAGAACAGGAAGGACTATGCTTTTATAATTTATGAGAATTTATATTTCATTCTTTAAGCTATTCCTGAAGTTTTAATTCCTCTTGAAATTGTCTTACTCCTGCCCATCAAATATTAAATGTCCTATTCCCTGGGCTCTTGTCACTCTGTGAGTACCTTCTTCTTCATGCTTACAACCCTTCATTTTAACCTTATAAAAATATAACCTTACATTTATATTCTTTTACTTTTCTAAGGAACTGTGAACTTTTTGAGGGTGGGATCTATTTTCTTTCTCCATATATTCATAGCACTAAACACCTGGCTTGGCTCAGAGGACAGTTTATTGAATGTGTTAGTCTAATATCTACCACTCTTTTTTAAGCGTAATTGCCGCTAACCTACCCAGCCAATTAAAAGGCTTAATTTTCTGGCTACTTTTACATGTCTTCTTCCTGATACTTCCATGTTGTAAGTTGCCCCACTACTAATTATAGCCACTATTCTTCATGTTGTGGACCACTGAATGGGACAACACCCCTTCTTCCATTGAGCCCTGAAGGAAATTGGATGAAGCAGAACCAAACCATTGTATCATATCAGGTTTCAGAGGACAGATGCATTGGACTGGAATTCAAATATAAAATGTATTGCTAAAAGGTAAAGTGAATTATAGAAGAAAACTATAATACAGGAAGGATTAGGTGGAAATTCTAGCTGACTTAAACTTTTCCTAGTACCAAACAAGAGTGGAAGATTTAAGATAAAGGCCTTCACAAAAGGAATAGATCTTGTGAATTCTCTCGTAGGTCTGCATGTCTCTACCAATGCATCTATCTCTCTAAATGTCTTTGTCCAATAGAAGTCATTCACCTTCTTCTGGAAAATGTCTACCTAATTTACAGGTAAATATCTTGGATAGCCCCCTGAATCTTTGTTACAGTCCAATACCTGGAATTTAGCTGTATAAGCAATGATATCCACCTCTACTCATCTCATAAATAAAAGAGAGATGCCAGGCTGTGAACAAGTGGTAAGTGGGATCTCCAATTCTAGGTCAGTTTTTCCACCTGCAAGGATCATGAGTCATTGATTTCTTTACCTCATAAATAATTCACCCTCTCCAACGTATATTGTATTATTTTCCTCTGGGACATGAAAATCTAATTCCATTTTTTAAGAAAGAATATGTTGCAAATTAACAAAACTATGGACATGCCATTACAGAACAAGGAATATGAATGAGCTGGGCATGGTGGCTCATGCCTGTAATCTCAACACCTTGGGAGGCCAATGCAGGAAGATTTCTTGAGACCAGGAGTTCAACACTAGCCTTGGCAAAATAGGGAGATCCTATCTCTCCAAAAAATATAAAATAATTAAATTTAAAAAAAGAAATATGGATGGATTCCTCTCTGCTCTACCTGACACTTCACTAGCATTTAAGGCCTTCTCTAATTATTGGCTAATTTCTCATCAAAATTGGGTCTATTTAATTATTTTACTTCAGTAAAATAATTTATTGTGATACTTGGCTACTTCTGCCCACTGAGAATGAATGAATACATGAATGGGTAGATCTTGTTTATATTAGACACATCTTGTCACATTAAATAATTCTTACATCTTAATACATAATACCTATATCTATTGTTTGTTTTACTTGCTGCATAGAATAGCGGGAGATCTATAACTCATTTAACTGTAAGTGTTTTCTGTCTCTAATAAAACAGGGCTTGTCCTCATAGACAATGATTTTGGGAGGGAGCATTTATTACACATGCAAACACACTTGCCTGCTGAGACTAAGTGTTTAAAAAGAAGAGGCAGCTGTAATTATCTGCATGCTAATTTACCATGAAATGTTTTCTGAGCCCTAGGGACACAAAAGCTTTATGCTTTATGTTTTAGTCCAGTGTAACAAATAATTTCAGAAATCATTAGGACCAAAAACTATTCCTTCTTTTTTTTTTTAACTCCAGTAACCTCTGTATTTATAACTACCACCCTTATATCAACTCTTAACTACAAGACAGAAACCTAGAATTTATCCTTGTCTCTTTGCTTTTCTTTCTACTCATATTCGTTGTTAGGTCCTGTTTATTTTTCTTTCTCAATGGCTCTAGAATTAGTAGCTGTCTTCATCATAACTGGCACTATTTAACTCCATGTCCTTATTCATTGCGATTGGATTATTATGACATATCATGAACTGCCCTCCTTGCCTCTTAAACATTTCAAGTTACTTTTCATACAATAACATAACATCACTCATATAAATTTTTTGACTGCTTACTATTGCCTTGTGAATAAAATATAAACTCTTTCATTATTTATTTCCTTTTCAATTCTCTGGACTCATATGTAGCACCCTTTTACTCTGCAACATTGACTTTGTTCTCCAGCCAAGCTAAACTATTTGCAATTTTTGTAATGGAGAACAAGCTTTAAAATTCATATGTCTTTGCAGATACTACTCTCTCTGCTTGACTAAGTCTTTTCCCTCTTCTATACTTAGTCTAACTACTTTGCAATCTTTAAACACTTCAGTGCCATTGCCATTGAGCTCTATGAATTCTCCTCGTCTGGCTTTTTCTAACACACTTCATTTTCCTATAGTTAATTCTTTTATCGGTGTGGTATTTGCTTCTTAAGAAGCAAATCTGTCTAAGCATTTGACCCTTTAGAGCAGCAATCCCCAACCCCCGGGGGGCCATTCCATGATCTGTTAGGAACTGGCCCACACAGCAGGAGATGAGCAGCTGGCCAGTGGGCATTACCACCTGAGCTCCACCTCCTGAAAGATCTGTGGCCACATTAGATTCTCATAGGAGCCCAAACCCTATTATGAACTCCACATGCAAGGGATCTAGGTTGTGCACTTCTTATGAGAATCTAACTAATGCCTGATGATCTGAGATGGAACAGTTTCATCCCCACACCATCCTCCCTCCCCACCCCCAGACCCATCCCTGGTGCCAAAAAGGTTAGGGACCACTGCTTCAGAGCACTAGCACTTTATCTTATTCCACTGTATACCCTTGGGTATTAGCAGAGAAGTATTAAAAAATACTTAGGCATAAATTTATGAGTTAAAGAGTGAATACTTAAAGAACTTCTTTTAAATCTTTTTCTTCTGTTTAATTTATCAATGCTAAGATGATGTAATATTTGTCTTAACTGCTTTTAATATTTTTCTTACAAGATTTCCAGGAAGATTAAGTTATTTAAGGAAAATAAAGCAGAAGAACATCAAGTAGATAAAATTTCCCTATTTTTATGATGCTTTCTAGCATGTATATACATCACTCTGAATTCACCTTTCCACAACCTGTGGAAGATCAAACCTTGTCAAAGATTTCTTTGAATTGTTAAGGGCTTGTAATCTCACAATCACCTCTCAATCTAAATGCCTTTTCCTTGCCTTAAAAGGTTTATGTATTATATCTCAACCCTGAAACTTCTGTCTGTTTCAGTTTTGGTCAACCAAGATATAAAACTTGGCTTTGTCTCAGTTTTCTGAAAAAGTTCAGACTCACAGGTAATTTGTAAATAGAATAGACTTCACTTAAGTTATTGGGAAGGCTAAGAGAGAGGTAAGATGGAGATTTTTAAAAACATGTCAATGCAGATATTACTACACCTCTTTATGTAAGTTTCTTCAGCCATTCCTCAGTTCATTACACTTCTTATTGTTTCCCTGTGTTTATGTTATTTCATTAAATAATTTCTTCTCCATCACTTCTATTGTGTGAATAACCCAGGATCTTGAAATTATTTTCTTTTCATTTTGCAGAGTAATTAATTCCTTCCTAGTTTCTACTGCCAAAATCTTTTTGAAACACACTTCTGCATATTGAAATCTATTAAGAAGCTCTGCAAAATAATAAGAGATTTCCATTGGATAGAGTCCACCCTTGCATTAAATTTCAATTTGAGAAATAGAAGCTATCCATTGTAAGTAAGGAAGAGAGAGATTTAATATAGGTAAATAGGTACCTACAAAATCATTGGAAGGGATGAAGTAATGGACCCTAGACTGAGCCTCAGGAATTACTAAGAAATCTGCAAAACTACTGTACCAGAGAACTACTACCTCTGAGAATACAATAGAACTATTGAGTTAAAGACCATACCGCTTAGCTATAATCTCAGATTATAAAACTGCAGTCTGGAGAAGCTATTGTCTGTGGTGTGCTACCACCACTACTCTTTCTAGACACACATAAGCTGATAAAAGATATTGGAACATAAAACCTTACGACTGCTCTGCCTCAGCTGTCTCTCAGCATACAAGAAGCCTGAGAATGGACACCAGAATTTTGCCACAATATCATGTTGTCACAGTTTTGCTTGCAAGCAGAAAATAGCAATAGTAAAAACATGGCTCCACTTTATTTCTTCATTTAGAATTACATGAGAGCAGCTAATTGTTGGGCTTTAATTCATACCTAGAACACTCTGGCCATGAGGGAGTTATATGAATGCAATTTTAAGCCTTCCAGTTTCTACAATATGATAGAACACACTAGAAGAAAGGTGAAATGGTAACTGGACAAACTAAATTACTTTTGTCGTTGCTTAAACCTATATGTGTCCTACATTTACCTAAATTCCAAACTCCAACTACAG